>NC_000017.11:4582020-4733535 GCF_000001405.40 Homo sapiens
CCTTGCTGTGTGGCCTTGGGCCAGTCCCTGCCCCTCTTAGGGCCTCAGTTTCCCCGCCTCAGGCCCAAAGATGGTAACTTCCCTAACTGTGGATTTGATTTTGTGAGACATTGGCAGGGGGGCTGGGGAAAGCTTGTCCTGCATCCTGCATCCAGCCTAGACTCAGAGCAGAGCAGGACGACGGTGGGCAGCAGTAGGGGCAGAGCCAGGAGACTGGAGTGGGAAGGGCAGGCGCCAGGGCCCCCAGGCCTTGGTGGGAGGTTGGCCTCCACTTGCTTGCTGACATCAGGGCTGGTGAATGTGCAGGGAGTCCAGCCAGGTTCACGGGCCCTCACCTCCCTCGCAGCCTGGTACTGGGCAGGAGTGGAGCTAAAGGAGAGTGGGGGAGGGGCCTGCAGGGAAGGCTCACAGGAGCCCCTGGGCCTGGGAACAGAGCTGCAGCCTCGGTCCATCTGTCATGGAGCCAGGTCGGAGGGTGGTGCTGACCCTCCATCCCGCCCCCTTCCCACCCCAGAATCACTCTCTTCCTCATGCTCCTGGCTCTTCTCTCCTCTCCTGGGTGCATCTCCAGCTACTGACTCGGAGATCTGACTGCTGAGAAAAAGGAGCCAAGGGGGATGGTCTTGTACCATCTGCCTTCCCAGAACCCACAGTGAGCCCCCATCTCTGCCCTTGACAGAGTCCCGCCTTCGGCCCCAGAAGCAGCCATGCCCCGTCCCCGAGAAGTTCCTCCTAGAGATTCCCATGTGGCTCAGGAGAGACCAGATAACTAGCCTGAGGCTGGAGAGTGTGGATGGATCCCAGGCAGCCACAGGCTCTACGATCTGTCACCTCCTCCTCCCTGCCAGGCTTCCCACCAATGGCCCAGCCAGCCTGCCTTCTCCCGGAGGATGGAGAGAAGCCTAGAGACCAGCCTGTCCAGTCCCTCTCAAGGCTTCTCCACACGGTCCTTCCTTGGATCTTAGAAGGGAAGGGACTGGGCTTCTGTGGCTGAGACCAGGGTTTTTGAACTCCAGGTTCTTGTGCTGAGACCTGGAGGGGCTTTGAGTGCTGTCTGCGGCAAGAGCAGCAGCAGCGTCTCTGGAGGCTGCTACTAAAGATTCCACCTGGAGAAAGCATTCAGGGAGCAGTTTGGCTCACCCTGTCCAGATGGCTACCTGGAATGCACACACATGCTCACACATATATGCAGCATGCACACCTTTTGGCATTTGCCTTTTTCATGAAATAATTGCTGGAAGGCTCCTTGGATTAGGTAACCCAGCGTTCCTTCCTGTCCCCTTGGGGCTGGGGGCGGGGGAGAGAACCAGCATTTAGCATCTGTCAGGCTGCTCCAGTTCCTTTGGGGCAATGATGGCCAGTCCAGGAGGGTTTGTGGGCTCCAAACAACCTTGGGAGCAGAACATGATATGAACAAGCCTTTCAGACTTCTCCTTCCTGCAGGTCAGCTGGCTATGCATGCCCAGCCTCTGGGCCTCTTTCAGGCAGGCCAGGCTTGGGAAAAAGAAGGCCAATTAGGAAAGGTTTTTTGCACAAAGGAGGATATGTTCTCATTTTTATTTTAAATCAGCTTTATGATATAGCGAAAACTTAGAGTTAGCTTTGCCCATCATCCCATCGTCCTAAAGCAACACCTGTTTCCCTTCTTCCCTTTTCTGGTGATGGTTTGGGGTGTGCATTTGGAAGGGGGAACTATCTGGGTTCAGCCATAAAGAGCATTGAGAAGGAATAGGGGTAAGACCCCTGGCCTACGGGTAGAGGCCAGTGACTGAGACTCTCATTGCGGGAGGGGGCGATTAGTCGCAAAGCCGCCCATTCCAGGATTTGGAGATGCAGCTCCAGCACACCCTTCTTTCTCTGTCTGCCCTTAGCCTCTCCAGGATCTCCTAACGGAGGCCCCTTGGTGGGTCGGGAGCCTCTACCGACCACTAGTGGGAAGGGCACGAAGATCTTGCTATACAGAGTAGGACTGGGAGGGGACAGCGCGTAGTCGCAGAGTCAGGGAGGGGACCTCACCACCTGTCTCCTCCCTGAGGTCTTAGAACAGATACAAGAAATTCCAGGCGAAGGTCCCACAGGTGAGCGTGTGCCTGCGAGAGCCGTGGCCGCTGCATAGGGAGGGCCCCGCGGAGTGGGGCGGCAGCTGTGGGAGCTGTAGGTGTCCCCATTAGCCCGGGAGTCTCCGCCCCCGGAGGAACCTGGGCCTTGCGGGTGAGAGTCCCGAGCGAACGCGTCAGCCCGGGTGTGCTCTCTACGGTCCAGGGGGGCCAGGGCCTTCTTCGGGTGGGCCCGCCGCCCCTCCCGCAGGCCGCACGCCGCTCCTCCGGGGTCGCAGGGCTCAGTTAAGAGCCGGGGAGGGGAGAGGCTGGGCGAGCTCTCCCTCCGCACCGTCCCGCTGGGCTCCAGGGCAGGGGGGTGTCCCGGAGTCGTCCCCGGCTCCGCCCCCGAGGCCCCGCCCCGCGCCCGCCTCCCCGGCAGCCCCTCGAGCGAAGCCAGCCACGGACGGCCAGTCGCGGCCCGGAGCTGCGGAGCTCGGATCTTCTCCCCCGTCTGGCCCGCTCTCGACCCGCGCGCTCTGCTGGGCCATGGAGCCGGCCCCCGACGCCCAGGAGGCGCGCACTGTGCGCGAGGCGCTGGGCCGCTACGAGGCGGCGCTGGAGGGTGCGGTGCGCGCGCTGCACGAGGACATGCGGGGGCTGCAGCGCGGCGTGGAGCGGCGAGTGGCAGAGGCGATGCGCCTGGCCGGCCCCCTGGCGCGCACGGTGGCCGACCTGCAGCGGGACAACCAGCGGCTGCAGGCGCAGCTCGAGCGCCTGACGCGCCAGGTGGAGGCGCTGGGCTTGGCCAGCGGGATGTCCCCGGTGCCCGGCACTCCCGGCACGCCCAGCCCCCCGCCCGCGCCCGGGGTTCCCGACCGCGCGCCCCGCCTGGGCAGCGCACGCTTCGCCAGCCACGCCACCTTCTCGCTGTCCGGCCGCGGCCAGGTGAGCCCGGGGGAGCGCGTGCGCTGGCGCCAGGGAGTGGGGCTCCGAACCGGGTGCCGCCCCTTCGCCCCGACTGCCTGCCTCTGCTCGCGTCTGCGGGGTTGGGGCCTTCACCGGCCGCTCGGACTAGGTGATGGGGGTCCTGCCGCCCCTCCGGAGTTGGAGAGGGCGGGGGGAGGACCGCTGAGCCTGCCAGCTGCACCTGTCTTGGTCCTCCGCCCTGTTTTAGAGCCAGGCTCTGTTTGCTCAGAGTCCTGTCTCCCTCTCTCCTCTGTCCCATGACATCAACGGCTTGGGCGCCGAAGTCCGGCCCCTGACTGTTCAGCACTGCCTGGAGCCACGCGGGGCATGTTGGAATGGTCGACACCCCTGCCTGACCCCCACCCTCCATTCACGCTCCCCTGCGTTGCCGCTTCACTGAGGCCTGACGGCTCTGGTTATTGATTAACTCAGATTGAGAACTCAGGCCCCTGGATGGGTGGGGAGGGGGGTCGAGGGGGACGCGATCAGCAGCGGCTTTTGGGAACTCTCCATCGCAGGGGGTAAATCCCTTACCGTGAAGGGAGAGAGGTGGAAACCCGCCTTGAGCCGTGTCTAGATTCCTCGGGTCAGTGACTAGCCAGAGGCCCACACCACGTGGGGATAGGGCGGAGGCCGACGTGGACCAGTCACTACCTTGCGCATGGGCCACCCAGAGCAGTTAGAATGTGTCCATGGTGTGTGCAGTGGCCCTTGGGTGGGATTTTCCATCCTGATCAGGCATGTGCTCTCGGGTTGGGTTCCCAGGATCTGGGGCTGTGTAGCCTGCACCTGCTCCCTCCTTGGTGCAATCCCTGGGGCTCTCAGATTTCCCGCTGTGGGCTGGGCTGGACCCTAGGGGGCCTGGAGGAGGGTATCAGATTGGGCCTTCCCCCTGGAGGTCCCATCCAGGGTGGGAGATGGCCCCAGACCAAGTTTGGGCAGCCAGAGATGTTTTGCTCCAAACACAGTAGTTAGCCCCTTCTCAGTGGGTATCTCAGCAAGGCTTTGTGCTGGGGGCCTGGGGCTTGCTGCTACTGGTGCAGATGAGGGTGGGGTGGGGGCTGTGCAGGAAGCCTCAGAAAGGCTGAAAGTACTCACTGGTGAGTGCAGCCTCGAGGTATGCGAGTGGAGTGGGCAGTGGCGAATGCCCCTAGTGTGCTGGGCAGAGGAGTTGGGCTTTGCCCGGCCTGTAAGAAGTTCTTAAACATGTCATGGTAGCAGAACCCGGGAGTGTCCCAGTGCTCCGTGTGAAATGTCTGGAAATGTGGATACACTTAAGTCTGTCTTATGAACATGACACTCTACGTGACCATGGTCTAAAATCACCACTGTGAGCTCACACGTGCCTCATCAACTGTGTCATCGGTTGTTTCTGAGGTTTTATTTGAACATGCATTTGCTATTTGTCTGCTCATAGCAGCAGCTGTCCAAATTAAAAAAAAAAATGTCAGGTTCACATATACATGTAGATGTGTGTGTACACACAAAGAGAGAGAGAGAGAGAGAGAGAGAGAGGGAATTCTCTCCAGTCGTGATTTTTGTCAATGGAGATTAGCCATTGTTCACTGGCACCAAGCTAGTCCACTAGGTTAGGAGTTGGTGGATGAAGCTCAGGATGAGGGTCTTCTTTGTGTCTGGCAAGCCCTCTTCGGGGTGGATGGAAGGTGGAGGGTGGCTGGAGGTGGGTAACTTGATTGTGATGGTCCAAGGAGAAAGGAAAGGTCTGAGCTGGGCCGTGGGCCTTGGTGTGTAGAGGGGCTGCCTTGGACAGGGTTTCAGAGGGGGAATGAGCAGATGGGGTAGTCTCAGAGGGGAGCTCTGACTTGGGGGACTGCTGGGTCACAGATCTGGGGTGAGATGCTGGGTTCCACCCGGGTCGTGCTGAACATGAGGGGACTATGGGAACTCCAGGTGAAGCTGTCCCAGAGCAGGTGGATTCATGGATCTGGTGCTCCACACAGTGAGCAAGCCTGGAGATTAGGGAGCTCTCTGGGCAGAAGCAAAGAGTCTGAAGGAATTAAAAACCAGACCGGGGAACTGCCAGGGAGTGAGGAGGACCTGAGTGCACTCTCAGCAAACCAGAGAAGGAGCCCTCCTGGAAGAAGAGGCTGGGGTCAGTGAAGATGCGTCGGCCTGTTGGGGAGTGAAGATGGAGACCCAGGCACCCAGGGGCATGAGCAGCAAGGGTAGCTGAGCACTGTGGGTGGAACATGGCTATGGTCCCCAGTTGGGTTAGAGGCTCTGCACCCCTTGAGCCCTGGCTCCCGGGGCCTGAGGCAGCTGCCGCTGGGCTGACCCCCGAAGCACCAATCCCCATCTCTCTTGCTGTCCTCCGTCTCAGGAGCATTGTCACAGCCTCCAGACCAGTGTCCAGCATTGAGAGGAGGGACTGTGTGGAGCCATCCCCATGTGCTGGCTCGTGTCCTGTGACCAGCACGATGTGATCAAGAGCTTGGTCACACTCAAGGAGCCGGGGCTCAGGGTGAGACTGGAGTGTGGACCATGGACATAGAGTCACAGCCCCACACCAGGCTGCTGGGTGTCTGACCTCTCAGACTTTGTGTCTGTGTAGTGGGGGTCTGGGTGGGACAATCTCATCCCATCCACATGAGCCAGGGATGGCTGTACTACCTGGCATTGTAGAGGTTGGTGTCACACTACCCCTCTGTAACAAGCAATGACATTTAGAGACCCAGTTCCTTTCAAACTGGGGACTGAAGGATTGGAGGTAGATTGTCTCCAATATATAAATGTCCCCTGAACTCAATACAGGAAGGGTTGATCAAGTAATCCTGTCTGGCTGGGAGCAGGGAGCTGAGAGCCAGCTTGGGGCCGGGGGTGGATGGTGGCAGCTTGAGGCCAGGCCCAGGCCCCAGCAGGTTGGGCCAGAGCTGTGGCCTGGAAATGTCATCCTCAGCTGAGCTGGAGCCACTGGGTCCCTATGCCCGAGGCAGCGGAGGCCCCAGGAACAGCTGCCAGGAGCCCCATGTCAGAGGCCCGACCATGAAAGAAGCCAGACTCGCCTTATCTGCCTTCCTTTCCCAGACACACTGTGCGATAAGAGAGTTAAATGCTTTAGGGAGAAGTTTGAATTAAGTCCTTTCAAACGGTGTTGTGAGTGGAGGAGGGCCGGGTCAGCAGTGTGAACTGTCTTAGGATGGGGCTCTGGCCCTGCGTGGGTCTCGTCCCCATGGATGGGCCCGTGCAGATCAGGCAGCACCCAGAAGGCCTGAAATATTCTTCCTTCCCCTACAAAAATGTCTAAAAGCTTTTCCAATAAGAAGGTCCCTGAAATCAGACTTACCTCATCACCCTTCCGCCTTTCCCGTGAGTGCCTCAGGCCTGGGCTCCCTCATGGGGCACCTCCCCTTTCTCAAAACAAAGCCGAGCTGGGGAATCTTGGGGGGTACCAGGCCAGCTCAACAGGACCTGTCCCCAGCCCCAGGGCTCTCCAGCGATTTCTGCCCCGGTCCCAGCATACCGAGGCCCCTCCCTGGTTTCCTTCCGCATGACGGCGACAGGCTGCCCCCATCAAAGGAGAGCAGTAACCCACTGGGGACTCTGCGGGGACAGCTCGTTCCAGCCCAGCCCTTTGGTTGAAGACCTCTGAGTTCTGTGAAGGTCCCACTGGGTGGTGACCCCAGTCCCCCGCCTTTTCCTCACACTCATTGGCTAAGACAGATCCCATGGGGCCGGGGCTCATACTGACCCAGGTCCTGGAAGACAACTTTGCCTTGAGTTGTCCTCTCTGCCCCCTAGAAGGCCAGAGCACTTTGTGGACAGAGCCCTGGTTTGGGGTGGGAGACCCGAGTCCCGTACTTTGGCTCTGCCACTACCTTTAGTCATGGTGTGGGGTTTAGGGGTTCCCCCTGCCCCACCCCACGTCTTGCTTTCCCCATCTGTGTGATGATGGGTTGGAGGATGGTCTCAGAATAGCCCCTTGCGCCTTGACCTAAGGCACGGGCAGACCCCTTTCCCCAGGTGACGAATGCTTCTAGTCGTGGGGCAGGGGAGCTTGGGAGTCTGGGCTCAGCCCTACACCCCAGCCTGCATTAGCCCAGCCCCTTCCCCTCCTCCCTTTGCCGGAGAACCCTTAGCAGTGATCTAACCAGGATAGAACTTACTCCCAGTCTGGTGTAGCGCCTGGTCCCCTGGGGCATCATGGGGGTTGTTGAGGGGCTGCAACGTGCAGGGACAGGCATCTGCGGAGGGCCTCCCACCCACCTATAGAGAAACATATTTCCTGGGAAAATGGTTTCACCCTCAGCCTTTCCCCCCAGAGCCCCGCCTGGACCTGTGGAACCTGTCAGACGAGAGCAGGGTGGGTGAGGGGGCACGGAGACCCCAGAGCCTGGTGACTGTGGGGGCCGGGGTTCCAGCTGGACTGGCTGGTTCTCCTCCCCCTGCCGACATGGTCTACACGGCCGCAGCGTGGCTCTAGGGGCACCCGTTCTGCTCTGCGTGCTGGGAGACGCCCTGTGCTTTTCTTGCGTTTCTGAGAGTGGGCCTGGCCTCTCCTCCTCCCACTCTTGAATCAAGAGCTCAGGGGTCGCCTCCTCTCCAAGGCTGGCTCTTCCCAGGCTCTGGGTCCTGTCTGCTGTGAGCTCCCCAGTGGTCCCGCTCTGCAGATGCTCCCCTCACCTTTCTCACCCTATGAATGTGGTCTTGCCTCTTCCTTCTGGAAAAACCCCTCAGACCCTTTCCCCTGGCTTCGCTCAGGGCTAAAGTTACTGCGCTGTCTTCATTTCTCTGGGACCCCTCTGCTAGGCCATCTCCTGTCCCCCAACCCCCTGTCCCCCGCCCCACGCTTCTGATCACCCATGACCTCTTCTTTTGCTGAACCCAATGGATGCCTGGTTGGATTTCCTCTTCACCTTTTCCTCAACCCCAGGCTGCCTTTGGACGCACCTGGCTTTTTTTTTTTTTTTTTTTTTTTTTTTTTTTTTTTTTTTTTTTTTTGAGACAGAGTCTCGCTCTGTTGCTCAGGCTGGAGTGCAGTGGTGCAATCTTGGCTCACTGCAACCTCCATCTCCTGGGTTTAAGCGATTCTCATGCCTCAGCCTCCTGAGTAGCTGGGATTACAGGCACCCACCACCATGCCTGGCTAATTGTTGTATTTTTAGTAGAGATGGGGTTTCACCACGTTGGCCAGGCTGGTCTTGAACTCGTGACCTCAAGTGATCCACCCGCCTCGGCCTCCCAAAGTGCTAGGATGACAGGCGTGAGCCACCGCGCCTGGCCCCGTGCCTGGCTTCTTGACTCCCTTCCTTCCTGGCCTTGGCTTTCTCACCATTCTTCAGGGGCTCCTCCTACGTCTCTGGCTGCTCCTCATTCTCCGCAGACTGCTCTGTTGCTTCCTGAAATGTGGGGGCCTCATCCCAGGGCCCCTAAGCTGCTCTTCCTCTGCTGGGCTTCCAGGAGCCCAGTGCATGCCCCTGACTCCTGTTTTTCCATGTTCGTCCTTCTTTTCTCTTAAACTCCAGACTCAAAAATCCAGCTACCTCCTCAGCTCCCTGATGCTCCAGGTGCCCCAGGCCCTCAACATGTCCCAACTGAAACCCTCATTTAGCCCCTAAACCTGCCCTGACCCACCAAGTCTGGGCTTGGGAGAGGCTTGGCACCCTTCCTCTTCCATGTCCACCCAGTCTCCCAGCCAGATCCCTTTTCCCCAAAGCTCCGAGTCCTTCTTGCCCGTGGCCCTCCCAGTGCCCCATCTCCCCTCCCCAGGTTCCTGCCCAGGACTAGTGAAGTGTCTTGCCATCTGGTCTCCACTCTCTGGCATCTTCTGAAGGGTGTGCCTGAAACACAGAGCCGAGGACCTTGGGCTCCTTCTTGTCTAAGGCGTCAAGTACCCAGGGCCAGCAGCTTGGGCGGCAGGGCAGGCAGCTTGGGCGGCAGGGCACTTCTCCATCTGCCTGCGTCCTGGACGGGCATGATCAGGATACCTGTGCCTTGATGTCTCTCTGCAAAAGCAGACACTAATCACTCTGCTGGGAGTGCCCTCCCTTGCTCCTCCACCGGGCTCACTCTGGATGTGGCTCAGGCACCCCTGCCTCTGAGAAGCCCTCCTTGCCCCACTGGGTCAGATGAAGCCTGTGTGAGGCATCCTTATCCTGACACGGCCCCCTCTGTTCACCAGCCTGGCTCCCCTCCCAGACTGATTCCCCAATGGCAGGGTGGCACCTCCCGCACTGGTTGCAAGAGGAGCTGAGCCATCTGGGGCCAGGGATGCAACATCATTTGCCTGGGAACCTTGTAGACCAGGGGGCATCTGGGAGAGGCACAGCCGACCTCTCAAGCCGCTCGTCCTGGGCTCGTGGTGGAGCCCCCACCAGCCCCACAGACACTCTCAGCCGTTCACACGCCCTGGCTGTGAGGAGGGCAGGACCAAGGTTGAGGACTTCTCCCCTGGCCACACGTGCCAGCTGTTTTTTGCTGTATAACTTTGGGCAGGGCACATGCCCTCTGGGAGTCCTCGGGCCCCATCTCTGAAATGGCTCTGGCAGCACCTACCGGGGAGGACAGTTGCTATAAGTGGTGTTTAGAAGGTGTTGCTATAAGGATAGCACCGGAAAAAGGGCTGGATGTTTGGTAGATGCCGAGTGGCACTTGCCTAGCCTGCTCCCGTTTCTCAAACAGGGAAACAGACCCAGAGGGGAACTGATGTGGCCCAGGTCACATGGGTGGGTGGCAGCACAGCCTGGATCCCAGGCTCCCCACTGGCTCTTGGCCTTGGCTGTCTTGTCTGCCCCCACCTGCCCCACCCACTACTACTGCCCAGCTGGGATGGATGAGTCGCACGGAGCTGATCAGGCGCTTGCACTCTGCATAGCCGGGTAAATCTTGTGTCCCCGCCTCCCATGCAAAGATCTCATCGTGATCAGGGCTCCGTAGCTCATCGTTGGCCCAGAAGGACCTGGTGCCACTGGTTCCTGCTGCCCCTGCACGGGTAGCCATGCCGACCTGGCCCAGCTGAGAGGGGCAGGGGGCGAGGCACTCCTGACCCCATCATCTGGTCCAGCCTGGGGGAAAAGGTGAGGGGGCCTAATGTCATTGGAACCCTCCATCTTGACTTCTGTCCTCAGCTTTTTGGGACTCTGGGAGGAGCCCAGTGGAGGTGTTTGCCTCCCAGGATCGCAGGGGCTCAGCAGTTGGAGTGGGGCCATCCCAGCTTTTGCTGTGTGACTTGGCCCGTCACTTTCTTCCTGGGGGCTGTTTTCTCTCAACATGATTGGTGTTTTGCCAGAACGGGAGGGGATTTGGGGGTGGGCAGCTTTTGGGGGTGGGCAGCTGGCCCTAGCTGATGGGGTCTCGGTGACATTTGTGTCTCTGTAGAGTTTGGATCACGATGAGGCCAGTGAGTCGGAGATGAGAAAGACCTCAAACTCCTGCATCATGGAAAATGGGCACCAGCCGGGGGCAGGTAGGGCTGACGGCAGAGGAGGGGTGGCTGGGTAGGTTTGGGGGTTAAGTAAGGCCTTGGTCAGGTATCTGTGCCAGGCTGGCCCTTGGCCTGGCATCGGGGGGACTCTATCCTGAACCCCAGCAGGGAGAGAGGCTGCCAGGAGAGCAGCGTCATTCAGTAGAACTTGTGAAACACAGAGGGAAGTTGGGAGATCTCAGGAGGTAGTGAGCTCTCCTGTTTCTAGAGGAAAGCAAATAGAGGCTGAGGAGCCGACTAGTATTTATTAAGCTGGCCATGAGGGGAAGTTGGGAAAAATCAATTCTGGTTGGAGCAGTAAGATATCCCTGGTAGGGGAGGTCAGAGAGGCTGGAGCAGTCAGGGAGGCCTTCCTAGAGGAGGTGGGAGGAGGGCCCAGGGAGGCTAGAGCCCTCCTGGGAGGTCCCAGGCCCCTGTGGCTGCCACAGCTGACCACCCACCCATGCTGGTCACATGTTCCAGGTCCAGGCGATGGACCCCCTGAGATTGCCCAAAACTTCTCAGCACCAGATCCCCCCAGGCCTCGTCCTGTGAGCCTCTCCTTGCGGCTGCCCCACCAGCCAGTCACGGCCATCACCCGAGTCTCTGACAGGTTCTCTGGGGAGACCTCAGCTGCGGCTCTATCACCCATGTCTGCTGCCACCCTGGGGGGCCTCAACCCAAGCCCCAGCGAGGTCATCACGCCCTGGACTCCCAGTCCTAGCGGTATGAGCTGGAGAGCGTGGCCTTGGGGCAGACCTCCCCTTGGGATGGGAGAGGGAAGGCCGGGGCTGGGGAGAGGGAGTCGGTGGGTGACATGGAAAACGAGGGGCTAAGCCCAGCCCTGCCTCTGCCTGCCATGTCAGCCCCTTCCCTTAGCCCATCCTCCCGGGCTACTGCCCAGAGATGCTGTGAAATAGCGTCATCCCCTGGTGGGGGCGACCGTGGCTTTTATTACAGTTGGAAGGTGGCCTCTTGCCCTGCACGTTGGGCACTGTCCCCTCCCTCAAGGCCCCAGGCCTGACTTGGGCCTGTGGCCAGTCCTCCGTGGTATGTCCTGGGGGAAGCCGTGTGGGCCTCTATAGGGAGGGTTTGGGAGCAGTGTTCACTGGATACATGGCACGGGCCCTGGGCTCTGTGCTCTCAAGAGCAGGGCGGGGACAGTTGAAAAGACCTCTTTGATGTTGTTGCTGTGTGTGCCCATCCTCCTTTCTCCTCCACTGTCTGCTGAGGCAGGGCCAGCTTAGCCCAGAAGGTTAGCTCATCCATGCAGCGATGCCGGGTAAATGAGGCAGGGCTGGGTCAGAGGAAGGGAGGCTATGGCGGGCCCTCCCTGGGGCCAGGGTTTGTTACTTCTCTCCCTCTCTCTTCCACAGAGAAGAATTCCTCTTTCACGTGGTCTGTGCCAAGCTCTGGCTATGGGGCAGTGACAGCAAGCAAACACAGCAATAGGTGAGTCAGGGCCTGTGTTCCTGTGGGGTCGCTGCGCCCCAGGTGTCTTCTCTGCTTTGGACGCAGGCCGCCCAGGGTTGGCCCTGGGGTTGGTGCCTCCTGGTAAGGCTCGGGGCTGGATCTCGGGAGCACTGGGCGGCAGGATGGGGGGAAGGTCTGAGCAGGGGGAGTGAGGCAGTGGGCCTCGGTGGAGAGTTTCATTTGGAGAAATATGGTCACAGCCTGGTTTCTTTGTGGGACCTTCAAGTCAGTCAAAAGATTGGAGGAGTGGCCGGGCGCGGTGGCTCACACCTGTAATCCCAGCACTTTGGGAGGTTGAGGTGGGTGGATCACCTGAGGTCAAGAGTTCGAGACCAGACTGGCCAACATGGCAAAACGCTGTCTCCACTAAAAATACAAAAATTAGCTGGGCATGGTGGTGGGTGCCTGTAATCCCAGCTACTTGGGACGCTGAGGCAGGAGAATCGCTTGAACTCGGGAAGCGGAGTTTGCAGTGAGCCAAGATGGTGCCACTGCTCTCCAGCCTAGGTAACAGAGTGAGACTCTATCTACAAAAAATAAATAAATAAATAAATAAATAAATGAATAAAAAACAAAAAAATATTGGAGGAGGCCTCTCAGCCGGCAGGAGGGAGAGGACAGGAGCTTTGTCTTCTTCCATCCCAGCCAGCTGGGGTCCCTCAGAGCCCGGAACTTCCTGCCCACGGGCTGCGAGCAGGGGCAGGTGAGCAGGTCCTTCCCTGTGGCACAGGCCTCCCCCCAGCCAGCCAGCGGGACTGTGATTGGGGATGGGGGTAGGGTAGCAGGCTTGGCTTTTTTTTTTTTCTTTAATAATAAAAGGAGAATTGTGACTTTCTGGCAAACCGTTCTGGGGAAAACAAAGGGGGTCTTATCGCATGGTGGTGGAGGCAGGAGGCCTGGTCCCTCCGGGGCTGGTTCTGAGCACACCTCCTGCCTGAGGAGGGGGTCCCTCTGTCCTCCCCAGGCATTGACACCTGCAAAGGGGTGGTTATGTCCAGATCGGGCCCAGCGTCTCCTGAGTTGAGCCTATTGGCCAGTCCCTCCAGCCAGCACAATTCAGAAAACCTGTCAAACCAGCTAGGGACCGGAGCAAGGGGGCCTCTTCTCTGAGCGCCCATCACGGTGCAGGCTGCCTTGTCCACACTCAGTGCAATGGAGACCTTGGGGCCTGGTGAGCTAGTGATGGCTGCTGGGCCCAGGTCCCAACTCGGCGATTCTTTCCTCAGCCCACCGCTGGTGACACCACCCCAGTCGCCCGTGTCCCCGCAGCCGCCAGCCATAACTCAGGTCCATCGGCAGGGGGAGCGTCGCAGGGAGCTGGTGAGGTCGCAGACGCTGCCCCGCACCTCGGAGGCGCAGGCCCGGAAAGCATTGTTTGAGAAGTGGGAGCAGGAAACGGCGGCCGGCAAGTACGGATGCCCACTCACAGACAGGCCCGGCCCCACGGTGTGCCCAGACCCAGACGGGGCTTGGGTGGGTGCAGCAGGGCAAGGTTCAGCCCTGTCCTGTTCCCCAGGGCGCTGTTGCCCAGGACAAGATCTCTTGGGCAAGGCACAAAGTTAGGGCTGGGCCACAGGGCAGCTTGGGGGGACAGAGGACCCCAGTTGTTGGGGGAGATGGCTGTGAGGCAGGGAGCCAGGAAGGCTTGGTGAGAGCCCCTCTCTCCTCCTCCATTCCCGAGGCCCCCTGTCCTGTCTCTGGTGCCGCCAGGCTGCCCTCACACCCACATTCCCCAGGGGTTGTGGCTCCTCTGGTTTCTGGGCATGACCGGGGACTGGATGGGGACTGGGATTCCTGGCCAGAGCTGGGAGCCCCAGCATGGGGTTGGTCTTGCCCAAGGACCGAAGGTGATGCCACGGGGCCGAGTGGCCTCCAGCCTGCTACTAGGTCTCGAGCGACGGCTCCTCAGGCTCCAGCCCACCTTTGCATATTCAGCCAGTCCTCGTGTCAGTGCATGGTATTGATGCCTGCTGTGTGCAGAGTGTGGCCCAAGCGTGGTATTGATGTCTGCTGTGTGCAGGGTGTGGCCCAAGCGTGGTATTGATGTCTGCTGTGTGCAGGGTGTGGCCCACGCGTGGTATTGATGCCTGCTGTGTGCAGGGTGTGGCCCAAGCGTGGTATTGATGTCTGCTGTGTGCAGGGTGTGGCCCACGCGTGGTATTGATGCCTGCTGTGTGCAGGGTGTGGCCCAAGCGTGGTATTGATGTCTGCTGTGTGCAGGGTGTGGCCCAAGCGTGGTATTGATGCCTGCTGTGTGCAGGGTGTGGCCCAAGCGTGGTATTGATGCCTGCTGTGTGCAGAGTGTGGCCCAAGCGTGGTATTGATGCCTGCTGTGTGCAGGGTGTGGCCCAGGCCTTGTGGGATAATGAAGACGACAGCCAGTCCCTGCTCGACTCTAGTGAGGGGGACCGACCCCGGACATCTCCCCACTGGCCCCAAACAACCTGGCCTAGGCCATTAGGGACTGTCCTTGGGGCCCAGAAGAGGAACTCATCCCTCCTGGCTAGGAAAGAGCCATCAGGGAAGGAGGCACCCCATTAAGAGGGGAGCTCAGAAGGAGGAGTGGGAGGAAGGAGCTGGGAAAGGTGTTCCAAAGCAGAAGGCAGGGGCCCAGGGCCATGTGAGCCAAGGTCTTCTGTCTCAGGATTCCCAGGTGACCCCTGCTTCCTGGATGGGGAATAAACAGGGGACCTGGAGGGCTGTAGGGGTGTGGACGGTCCTGCCACATACCATCAAAGGAGGCTGTGTCGCTGGTACATGGGCTGTGCCGTGGACGTGGGCACAGCTGAGCCCACGTGTGCCACCAGCATCTCCCCTGGGTGAGCAGAGCAGGTGGGAGCACCCTCCTTGGTGGTGCCAGGACAGCCTCCCCTGCCCCAGACCCGCACTGGGAGATGGCAGCTGGAGGGGCCCCCGCAGCAGGCCTGCCGTCTCTCCGCAGGGGGAAAGGCGAGGCCCGGGCCAGGCTGAAGCGGTCGCAGAGCTTCGGCGTGGCCAGCGCCAGCAGCATCAAGCAGATCCTGCTCGAGTGGTGCCGCAGCAAGACGCTGGGCTACCAGGTGAGCCCCGGCTCCCCTCCGGCTGCTGGGACGCCCCAGCTAAAAGCTTGACCAAGCGTCGCCCCTGTCCTTGTTCTCCCGCCTGGGCAGGAGCCCGCTGAGGCTGGGGTTAAGGGGTAGGAACCACGGTAATTATGCCTTCCGAGTGGGTGCCCAGCTGCCCTCCCGCACTGACCCCACTCACCCTGTTGCAGCACGTGGACCTGCAGAACTTCTCCTCCAGCTGGAGCGACGGCATGGCCTTCTGCGCCCTGGTACACTCCTTCTTCCCCGATGCCTTTGACTACAACTCCCTGAGCCCCACGCAGAGGCAGAAGAACTTCGAGCTGGCTTTCACCATGGCCGAGTGAGTATGGTGGCTCCTGCTGGCTACCAGCCCCAGCCCAGTCCCTGAGCCCAACTTCTTCCCCAGGTGGGGCATGGGGGCGAGTGGGATGTCGGGCCGCTGTCTGCAAAGCTGAAGGACCCTGGGGCCATGTGGTCTGTGTACCTCTTGTGCAGATGGGAAGACTGAGGCCTGGAGAGGGATTTTCCCAGAGTCACACAGCACTCAGTGGTGGAGGGGGACTCCGTTCCTGGGGACCTGCCCTTTTTGCTAGGTGCCCAGCTTCTGAGGTGCACTCTGGGAGACCAGCCACAGACCAGGCATGAAGGGCAGCAGGACAGGGTCCCCCAAAGCTCTGAATCTGTCCTCTCTGGACTGATGGAGAGATGCCGTTGCTTGCATGAGCCACAGCTGCCAGTTAGCAAGGAACTGGATATGACCTGGGCCACTTAAAAGGAGATTTTTGCTTCCAATAAGATTTTCCTTCCCGAAATGGTGTTCTGGCATTTATTGTGAAATTGCCTAGCTTCTTAGGTCCCACCTCTAGGGTGAAGATTTGGGGGTGGCTCTGGGGTCAGGAGGCACCTGGAAAGCCAGTTCGGGATTTGGTTTTTGGCCGAGGGCCTCAGGAGAGTTGGCAAAGTCAGGTCTGTCTGCCAGGGCTCCAGCGGCGGACGGGGGCACAGTCAAGAACTGGGCGAGGAGAGTTTAATAAAGGGACCCTTTACAAAGGCGTGGGCAGGAATGAGGTCGTGGGTCAGGCCTCATGCAGCAGCCTCGGGATAACAGCAGTGTGGCGGATCTCAGCCCGTGGCCTGGGTGCGGAGGACTGTCTGATAAGAGCTGCGCTTTGGGCAAATGGTTGCAGTCAGCTCGCTGCGACCTGGCAGGGAGGGAGCTGTGGATAAGTGTCCCAACCTCATTCCCCTCCTGCCTCACGCCAGGGCCTCATGGTGACTGAACCCAATCTGAAGACAGAGGGCCAGGGCTGTGGTTCATCCTGGCCCCCAGGGCAGGGAGCAGGGCACAGATGAGTGGTGTTCGGGGCTGCCCAATGCTAAGCTCTCTGAAGCTCAGAGAGAAGTAAGGCCGTCCCCAAAGCCGAGTCTTCTGGAGGGCGCGTTTGTTATTCTCTCCCTGCCTTTGTGCCTTGTGTTGTCAGCCTCTGACGTCGGTCTACAACCGACCTTGTTTGTTTCTGGTCTGAGTCCTCAGTGCCCACATTTAAGAGTGGTCCTTGGCCGGGCACGGTGGCTCCCACCTGTAATCCTAGCACTTTGGGAGGCCAAGGCGGGTGGATTGCCTGAGCTCAGGAGTTCGAGACCAGCTTGGGCAACACGGCGAAACCCTGTCTCTACTAAAATACAAAAAATTAGCCAGGCATGGTGGCAGGCGCCTGGAGTCCCAGCTACTCAGGAGGCTGAGGCAGGAGAATTGTTAGAACCCAAGAGAAAGAGGTTGCAGTGAGCTGAGATCGCACCACTGTACTCCAGCCTGGGTGGCAGAGTGAGACGCCATCTCTAAAAAAAAAAAAAAAGTGGTCCTCATGGGCTTGTTGGGTTAAAGGAGCCTCACCCCAGGCCTCACCTGCCTTCCTCATTCCTTTCCCAGCCCAACCACCAACCACCTGGCCCCGGCCCCAGCCCCGGCCCTGGCCCACCACCCCGGCCCCTGAGCCTGGCCAGGGAAAGAATCAGAGCCAGAGGGTCTTGTAACCTGCACTTGGTATTGTAAGTCTCGCTTTGACCTGAGATAGCTGCCCCTCTCTGGGGCAGCAACTCTCTCTCCGAGGGCAGAATCGAGACTGGCTCTGAGCTCCTTAGCCTGAGTTTTTGGAATATCGGTATCAGCCCTGTTATGTTGCCTTGGATGACGCGCTTGGACTCAGCCCCCTGGGGTCACAAGAACTCCTTGTATACTTTAAAAGCCTTTCTGTCTTGGCTGCTTGGGGTTAGCTGTCATCCTAATTGCAGAAACAGCTCTGGACGAGCGTGTTGTGCAACTGGATCCAGACGATGGTGTGGTGGAGCCAAGGGGAATGGGTGGTGCAGGGAGCGGGCAGCTCATGAGGATGGGGCCCAGCTGCCGAAGCCCAGACGTGGCAACCGTCAATCAGACTGTCAGAGGACACAGGGTCAGGGTATCGGGGTGGATACCCCAGCACCCACCCCAGCGGCAAGGTCACTCCAGCACCCACTCCAGCGGCGAGGTCACCCCCACACCCACCCCAGGGTGAGGCGACACTGTCTTGCAGGATTCTTCCTTGTCTAAGTCCAGTGATGCCCGCTTATGCCCTGGTCACCTTGGTCACCCTCTGCCCTAGACCAGGCTAGGCTGTGGCAGGGAGAGGGATGCCCCGGGCCATGGGGTGGTGGCCCCATGCCCCAGCCTGCAGGGAACACAGCTCCCCTTGGCAGCCAGAACCAGAGCGATTCCGGGCTGTGCTTCCCCAGCACGAGGTTTGAGTTCAGGGAGCTTCTAGACTCCAAACAGATGTTTCTTCTATTCCCAGCTTGGTGGGGTGATGGGGAGGCAGCGGCGGAGGCTGGTCCAGGTTTTGCCTTCTGCCTTCCCGGAGCACACAGCAGGGTAAAAACGTGGGCCCCGCCTCCCGGTGGCCTGGGCCTGCTCCAGCTGTGGAGGGGGCAGGGAGGATGGGTCTGATGAAGCCGCTGAGATGAGTTCTTGCTTTTCTGCTGACTCGAGGGCGTGGGGAGGGGCGTCCACCGCAGGCCTGTGCCGGGGGGTCGGGGGAGTTTGCTCAGAGCCTGGGAAGAGGCCTCCCCTCATGACTCATCCGTAAGATTATCTCCCAGGTACTAGGGGGAGAGGGCTGGGAAGACTGGCTCGCCTGCCTGGGGCCTCTGGGGAGGACGACAGCTTGGATCACCTCATTTGTTGGACAATAGGCTGGTTAGAAGAGCTGGCAGGAAAGCGCAGGGACACCTGCCTGAGGGTACTAGCTGTCAGTGTCCTCACCGATGTTCCTGAGGTTTGCGGCAAAGGCTGAGCAGATCCAGGGTCGTGCAGGCAGCAGGACCACAGAGCTAAGAAAGGCAGCCTGGGGGCAGGCAGGGTGGGATGAGAGGAGCCTGGGGTCTGACAAGACAACTTCTGGAAGGGAAAGGAGGACACAGGTCCCCAAACCACGGGTTCACCTTGCGTGAGGAATGAAGCATTTCCCCGAGCAAGTGCCTTAAAGGCACAAGGATCAAGGATGCACCAGGGACCTTTGGAGTAAAAGTGGTGTGTGCTGCCCTTCCCCAACCCCCACCTGATAATTTATGGTCCCAGAGATTCCCGGTGGCCTAATCTGTGTGAATGATGCAGTGTTGACAGCACAGCGAGCTTCCCTTGCCTGACAGGTGTTCAGGGTCTGGAACGAGGGAGGACCGGCCCCTTTTATGGAAGGGGCTGAGTCGGGCGGGCGCCTGACCCTTCTGCACCCGTCCTTTCCACCTCTGCAGAGGCCCAGTGCAGGACGTGCAGCCCCAGGCTTCCCGCTTGCCCTGCGGGGAATGTGTCCTGCTCTCGGGTTACGCTGGAGCAGAAGGGCCTTCCAGGCTATTTGTAGTGCCCATGTGTCTCTGTCTAAAACCAGATAGGAGGCAGTAGTCCCAGTCCTGGCATCCTGGTCTGCATTTAGAGCAGGCTTAAAAAAATAAAAATAACCCCCAAGCCCATCCTCCAGCTCCCTTACAGGACAGCCCTGTGGTAGCTGAAGCTCACAATAGACAGGAGTAGGAGAAAACCCTTTCAGCCTTTTCCCCACCCCACTGATGCGGGGCGTAAGCAAAGACACTTTAAAAATGGTCGTCGGGATTGGCCGCGCACAGTGGCTCATGCCTGCGATCCAATCCCAGGACTTTGGGAGGCCAAGGCAGGTGGATTGCTTGAGCTTAGGAGTTTGAGACCAGGTTGGGCAACGTGGCAAGACCTCACCTTTACAGAAAATACAAAAAATTATCTTGGTGTGGTGGTGCACACCTGTGGTCCCAGCTACTTGGGAGGCTGAAGTGGGAGGATCGTTTGAGCCCGGATGGCAGAGATTGCAGTGAACCCAGATGGTGCCACTGCACTCCAGCCTGGGCAACAGAGTGAGACCTCATCTCAAAAAAAAAAATGTAGTCAGCCCATGTTAACTCTGGTTCTTGCTATGGAATGGCATTTAAAGTGATTTTTACTTTCTCCTTTGAACTTTCTGTTTGAATGATTGATTGATTGATTGATTGATTGATTGACACAAGATCACACTTTGTCTCCCAGGCTGGAATACAGTGGTGCAATCACAGCTCACTGTAGCCTCAGACTCCCAAGCTCAAGTGATCCTCCTGCCTCGGCCTCCCAAGTAGCTGGGACTACAGGCACACACCCCCACACTTGGCTATTTTTTTTTTTTTAGAGACGGGGTCTAACTATGTTGGCCAGGCTGGTCTCAAACTCCTGGCCTCAAGTGATCCTCCCGTCTCAGCCTCCCAAAGTGCTGGGATTACAGGCATGAACCACCGCACTTGGCCTGTTTGAATCATTAAAACAAACCTGTATCATTTTTACAAAAGCAGTTGTTGTTTTTTTTTTAATTTAAAAGGCAATTGGGACCTCTAATATTTGGAGACTCAAACATTTTTTATAAATGTCAATGCTGATCATCACTTTCTTTTTCTGCTGTCTCCCGAGTTTTGTCCAGCCTATGTCTGCAGCTTCCAGGAATCTTGCCATCATAGGTCAAATATCCCTTATCCAAAATGGCCTGGGACCAGAAGTGTTTTGGATTTTAGATTTTGGAATATTTGCATTATATAATACTTACCGGTTGAGCATCCCAAATTTAAAAAATCCAAAGGCTCAAAAATCTGAAACTTTTTGAGTGCCAGACACAATGCTGAAAGGAAATGCTCATTGGCGCATTTTGGATTCGGTATGATGAACCTGTGCCATTGAAGCTGGCACCATGTCTCTGAGGGAGAGTGCTCCCTTTGCAGGGACAATCTGGGGTGGAAGGCAGGTGCTTTTTTTTTTTTTTTTTTTTTTTTTTTTGAGATGGAGTTTCGTTCTTGTTGCCCAGGCTGGAGTGCAGTGGAATAATCTCAGCTCACTGCAACTTCCACCTCCTGGATTCAAGCGATTCTCCTGCCTCAGCCTCCCGAGTAGCTGGGATTACAGGCATGCGCCACCATGCCCAGCTAATTTTTGTATTTCTAGTAGAGATGGGGTTTCACCATGTTGGCCAGGCTGGTCTTGAACTCCTGACCTCAGGTGATCCTCTCGCCTCAGCCTCCCAAAGTGCTGGGATTACAGGCTTGAGCCACGGCACCTAGCTAATTTTTGTATTTTTAGTAGAGACGGGGTTTTGCCATGTTGCCCAGGCTGGTCACGAACTCCTGACCTCAGGTGATCCGTGGAAGGTGGGTGCCCTTGAAGGTCTGCTGTGAGCTGTGCTTCAAAGACAGAGAATGCTCTCTGCCTGTGGGAGGCGGAATTTGGAGCTCCCCAGGAAAAGAAGTGGGTGAAGAGCAAAGGTGGCAGGTGAAGAAAAGAGGGAGCCAGGAGACGGTGGTTGCGTGTTGCATATTGTGACCCCTCCCTGCTCCCCTAGGAACCCCTACACTCTCATGTACTCAACTTAGAAATAACAACAGTGGGGACCATATGGATCATGGCCCAGTGCCCTGGTTGCCTGCTGGGGAAGCCGGCGATCTGGACAGCGGAGGATGACACAGGGCATGGCATCCACTCCCATCCTGACTGCCACCCTGGACTTGAAGACTTGCCACCAGGGCAGGGGCCCACCAGGGGTCATTATCAGAGGGTAAACGCAGCCTCTAGAATGAGGAGGGGTCAGCTTGCTGTCTTCTGCAGAGGCTGGACAACACCCGGAAAATGCCGGCAATTCTGAGGGCCTCCTATGAAGTGGGTTAGGGAGTGGCAAGACCTGGTTCGGAGAGGTGGGTCCTGGGTATCCTTTGTGGGAACAGTTAAGGAACCAGAGCTGTTTAGTTCAGAGAAAGACATGGAAGGAAGGTTTTCTTCTGGCGTGTGAAGGGTTCTGACATGGGGGAAAAATCAGACTGAGAATAAGTAGCCTTATGGGGTCAGCAGGTAGAAAGTACACACAGGCACAAATAGCGTAAGAAATGTTAGAAGAACTTTCTCGTGGTCAGAGCATCTGCAGAGGGTTCTGAGCTGTCCTTGGAGGAAATTGGGTCCCCTTTCCCTGGACCCTGAGATGAACAAGCTGAGGCAGGGCCTTTATAGAGGTGATTGGTGCTTCTGACGGGGGTGTTTGGATGGTTGGAGGTCCTAGAGTCCTCATGCTGTCCCTACTTAACATGTGGCACCACTGAGGCCACCGCCGTCAGTGCTGATAACCAGAGCATGTGTGGAGCCTGTTTCTACACACCTGGGATCCTCCAAATAGCAGGTGTGGGAGTGGAGGTGCCCCAGCTGTGTGGCAGGTGGAAAGGAGGGCACCAGATATGAAATGATCGCTCAGGAAGGTGAACTCAGGTCCCCAGCCTCTCTGAACTCAGATTTTCTTTTCTTTCCTTTTTTTTCCCCTTGAGATAGAGTCTCACTCTGTCGCCCAGGCTGGAGTGCAGTGGCATGATCTTGGCTCACTGCAACCTCCGCCTCCCGAGTTCAAGTGATTCTCCTGCCTCAGCCTCCCGAGTAGCTGGGACTGCAGGCATACGCCACCACACCCAGCTAATTTTTGTATTTTTAGTAGAGACGGGGTTTCACCATGTTAGCCAGGATGGTCTCCAACTCCTGACCTCAAATGATCTGCCCACCTCAGCCTCTTAAAATGTTGGGATGACAGGCATGAGCCACCGCGCCCGGCCTGAACTCAGATTTTTCAATGCTTTATCATCGACAAAGCACCTTTGCACGCCTGCTCGCATCAGAGGGCCAGCTTCCCTGACATCGAGCCCTGCCCTGGCCTGTCCCAGGGAGAAAGGGTGCCCGCTCATTGGGCCAAACCCACTCATCACCCCACAAAGCCTGTTGGATTCACTTACAGGCCACCCGCTACAACTCCAAGCAGGAGGTGGGGAGGGGATCCAGGACAGATGCCTCCATTTCGCCTTGACATTTGGTTTCTGGTAGGAGGCCTGGCGTCCAGCCAGCACAGCAGAGCAGGGCCTGCGGGTAATGTTACAGTCTTGTCTCTGGAGCACACAGCCGCGTGAGTCCTGGTAGAAAGTGCTGAGTGCGTCGTGCCAAACTGGGATGGGTCAGAGGAGTCTTGCTCGCTCGCTGGGGTCTCCCCTCTGGCTGGGCTCTCTGGGGAACAAGATGCATAAAGACACATTGTGGAATCACAGCCTCACAACAGGCCCACTGGGAGGGACAGCAGAGGTGGTATTCTGATTTTTTTCTTTTTTTTTGAGACAGAGTCTCGCTCTGTCAGCAGGCTGGAGTGCAGTAGCACGATCTCGGCTCACTGCAACCTCCACCTCCTGGGTTCAAGCGATTCTCCAGCCTCAGTCTCCCAAGTAGCTGGGATTTCAGGCGTGCACCACCATGCCTGGCTAATTTTGTGTTTTTAGTAGAGACAGGGTTTCACCATGTTGGTCAGGCTGGTTTGGAACTCCTGGCCTCAGGCAATCTGCCCGCCTCGGCTTCCTAAAGTGCCGGGATTACAGGTGTGAGCCACCGTGCCCGGCCAGTATTCCGATTTTGTGCTAAGGAAATGGGCACAGAACAGTGAAGCAATGGGAGGAGTCGGGGTTTGAACTCTACTGTTTTGATCTCACATTCAGGCCTCTTCTCTGTGATCCACCCTGCTTCTTAAAGCAAGGCATGATCGTCAAAATGGCAACAAGAATAATCTCTGACTTTTTTGTTTGGTTTTTTTTTTTTTTTTTTTTTTTTTTGAGGCAGGGTCTGGCTCTGTACCCCAGGCTGGAGTGCAGTGGTGCAATCTGGGCTCACTGGAGCCTCCACCTCCTGGCCTCAAGCGATCCTCTCACCTCAGCCTTGAGTAGCTGCGACTACAGGTGCACACCACCATGCCTGGCTAATTTTTAAAACTTTTTATAGAGACGGGGTTTTGCTGTGTTGTCCAGGCTGGTCTCAAACTCCCAGGCTCAAGTGATCCTCCTGCCTCGGCCTTCCAAAGTGCTGGGATGACAGGCATGAGCCACTGTGCCCGGCCTCATCTTTAACATTTATTAGCTCTTTCAATGTGCCCTTTGCTGTTCCACCTGATTTGCATGGGTTTATAATTTTCATACCACTCTTTCGAGGTGGATATAATTCACAGATGGAGAAACTGAAGCCCGGAGAAATGAAGTGTGTTGCCCACAGATATATAGCTCGGAAGAGATGGAGCTGGGATTTCAACCCTGACAGCCATGCGCTTATTGATGGGAAAAAAAATAGACTGGAGACCCCTGGAACTACAAAAGTACACACAGCTGCTGAAGGAAGGGCACTGACAATCGGGCCAAGTGCGATCGTTTTTGCCTTTTTGGTTCTGCCTGATAATGTCAGGCCGGCTCCATCTGGTGCCCAGGGGACCCAGGCATACTGTAAGCAGAGTCAGAGGAGGCAGGGGGCGCAGGGCTGGGCATTCCAGAGGCTGTCTGTTGTTATTTCAGGACTCGCTGCTGAGATGAGCAGGGCGATGCGTCTTGACTGTTGACGTTCCTCCTCCCACGTCCACGAGGCCTTCAGCCTCCCTCTGAGCCCCAGTGAAAGGCCACAGTGTACACACGAGTCTAAACCAGTGAGCCAAAAGTGAAACCAGTATTTCCCAGGGCAGGAGGCAGAGGGCCCTGGGGGGCTGGGGGTGGGGCAGCAATGAGTTTAAGCAATCTCTTTTTTTTTTTGAGACGGAGTCTTTCTTGCTCTGCCCCCAGGCTGGAGTGCAATCGCACGATCTCGGCTCACTGCAACCTCTGCCTCCTGGGTTCAAGCAATTCTCCTGCCTCAGCCTCCCGAGTAGCTGGGACTACAGGCACACGCCACCACGCCCGGCTAATTTTTGTATTTTTAGTAGAGACAAGGTTTCACCATATTGGTCAGGCTGGTCTCGAACTCCTGACCTCAGGTGACCCGCCTGCCTCGGCCTCCCAAAGTGCTGGGATTACAGGTGTGAGCCACCACATCCAGCCTACTTTTTTTTTTTTTAACTTAAATATAGTTTCACTTCAAATTTAAATACAATATGCCAGGTACTGTGGGTCGCCTGTGCCTGTAATCACAGCTACTCAGGAGGCTGAGGTGGGAAGATCGCTTGAGGCAGGCGTTCAAGACCAGTCTGGGTAACATAGTGAGACCCCATCTCTACAAAACTATTTTTAAAAAACTAGCTGGGCCGGGCGTGGTGTCTCACGCCTGTAATCACAGCACTTTGGGAGGCCAAGGCAGGTGGATCACCTGAGGTCAGGAGATCGAGACCAGCCTGGCCAACATGGTGAAACCTTGTCTCTACTAAAAATACAAAAAAAAAATTAGCCAGGCGTGGTGGCAGACACCTGTAATCCCAGCTACTCGGGAGGCTGAGACAGGAGAATCACTCGAACCCGGGAGGCAGAGGTTGCAGTGAGCCAAGATTGTGCCACTGCGCTCCAGCCTGGGCAACAAGAGCAAAACTCTGTCTCAAAAACAAAACAAAAAAACAAACAACTAGCTGGGCATGGTGGTGTGTGCCTGGAATCACAGCTACTTGGGAAGACAAGGCGTGAGGATCACTTGGGCCTAGGAGATCGAGGCTGCAATAAGCTAGGATCGTGCCTCTGTACTCATGCCTGGGCAACAGAGCAAGCCCCTGTCTCTAAAAAAAAAACCCAAATTAAATAAAGTAAGTCTGTTTAAATGAAAACATGAATTGTACAGGTGGCTCATAAATCTGGGAGTTTGGGAAACATTGTATTGGAGTCAGTGACTCCAAGGGTTCTGCCAGGGTTATCTGAATTCCCCGCTGGTGGGTCCTTGGGAACCTCTGGCTGCCGGCTGAGCTCTGTTCCCGGGACCGAGACACCGGCCCTGTCGCGGCTGTGGGGCTGGCTGATGGCTGGGACCACCGTTCTGACGGGGCTTGTGTGTTTCAGGAATCTGGCCAACTGTGAGCGCCTCATCGAAGTGGAGGACATGATGGTGATGGGCCGCAAGCCGGACCCCATGTGTGTCTTCACCTACGTCCAGTCGCTGTACAACCACCTGCGTCGCTTCGAGTAAAGCCCCTGAGCCTGGATTGCCAAAGAGCAGCCCCAGGAAGAGGCCGGGGGTCCGCTTGCGATTCCCCAGCCAGGATGCCCCCAGGAGCCTTGCCGTTTGGTGTGAGCGCGCTGTTTGTTCTGTGGCATGTGACGGCACTCCCCTTCGAGCCCAGCTGTGTTACTGATTAAAAGTACTGCTGAGCTGTGGTCCGACAGCACTGATCACAGCCAAGGGCTTGGAGGAAAAGGAAAAATTATGAGAGAGAGAGAGACATTGGTGCTAAGTAATGATCTTCCTAAAGAAATGCTTGTGTTTATAGCTTCCAGAATGCTAATCTACAATTTTCCCTCTGGTGAATTCGATACATCGGCTTTACAGGGTTACAGTGATTACCAAGTGTTTTTTTTTATCAAAATACCCAGAGTTTTTTACTTCCTCACGCGATTGTAGGTTCCTCTCCTCCCTCCCTCTGGGCCACTGCCAGGAAACAGAGAGACCGCTTAATCAGCAGCTTGACAAAGAAGACCTCAAGTCTTGGGAAGAAACAGTTTAATCACTCCCAAGTCCTGGGCAACAGATGACCTTCAAGTCACCTCCGCTCTCCGGGGAGATGGGAAGGCTCTCCTCTCGGTCCCAAAGTCCTCCTGTTCTTCCCAGGAGGCCCCACAAGTGTTTGGCTAAGCACAGGCTCTCGGGAATTTAACACTTTTGGGGAAGGAATAGGCCCTTTGTGCTGAGAGAGAGTTTTTATTCACATCTTTTTTAGGGGATTTGCTGCAGATATTTATAAAAAGTAACTCCCTCTGTACCACTGACCCATTTATACATAAAAAAGATGTGTTGAATTTTGCTTGGGGTTTGTCATTTCTGTTTAGGAGATGGGAGTTCTGTGAATAAGAGACTTTGCACACCTTCCAAGTGAATATCCACTACATTCCACCCCTGTTCCTGCACTTAAATCACTGGCCTGGAAAGCTGAAGATGGCATTTGCTGTCATCTCTGATCATCTCTGAGTGTGCCTGTCTCCCATCTCCATGTTGTGGAAGGAGCGTCAACAGAAAGTTCCCCTTGAGATCCGTCCTCTGGATGTAGACCGCAGTGTTTGTGATAAACAGTGGCCCAAGACAGCAGGGTTTGGGGTGGTCCCGCACTTGGAGGAAGCCCATCAAGGAACGTTGGTTTATTTTCACAGCTGTTTGGTGGTAGGACTTTCATAGAAAAATCTTGAGATTCTATAGAGCTCCAGCCATTAGCTTATTCTCAGCCAAGAATCATTGTATAATTGGGTTGGATTTTAGCCATGCACTTCTAAACCTTCCCTTTAAGGAGCGGATCTGTGTCTTCACCTCATGCAGCCGGCTCTCAACACCAGTGCCTGTGTGCCTTTGTGGGGTCCCACGTGTCCCTTGGGTGGTATATTGGGGGGTGGGCAGGAGATCCCTGGGGGTGTCAGGAGGAACATGGCAGAGCCTGCAGGTGGGTGAGCAGTATTCTCCATGGATTGGTTGGTCCAGGCTGCAGTCTTGCCCTCTCTCTCGGATTCTCCCACTCTGGAAACCATTCCCTTGCTAGCTCTCTCGTCTCTTGTACGCTTGGGGAGGTGAGACCTATTATTAACAGGACACATAACTGAAGGTTAGGGTTTCAAACCTGAAGCCAATCTGGGAACACAAGGGCTCTGTAAAAAGCATGGCTATATGTTACTGAGTCCTCGCACACGTTAAATGGAGCTCTCCCGAGTTGCAGACATGGCCGTACGCTCTGCGCATGAAACAGAGCAGATCCTGCCAGAATGCAGAACAATTTCTTTTAAACTTTAGGAATGGTGTCCCTCATGTCTCACATTCAGAATGAGACAGACTCGAGTTTTTAAAGTTGGTTCCATGATGTTCTTGTCTGTGGTCTTTGTTGGGGGTGGGGGGTGAGAGATCATAAGACAGTTTGTGAGTTTCAAACATGATTTTACCTCTAAGACAAAGCATGAGAAGAAAATCCAGGAAGGTCTCACAATCCTAAGATATTTGGAAACCACCGTTTTAGGTCGGGGTTACGTGAATGTTCCCCATTTGTGAGACCCAATTTCATCTTGCTTTCTACCCTGGTATGGAGGAATTCACATCTTTTTTCCCCTTTCCCGAGAGAATTATTTCTTGGAGCTGCTCATAAGAGTCTTCTGTTTTTCCAGATAGATTCCTTCACCTGGATTTTGTTAAACTTATTAAGTCGGACCAAATTGGCTTGTGTGTTTCCCTGAAGTGAACGTTTCACCAGAGCCACGATGGGTTTTAGCTTTTCTGATAGCTGATGGATATTTTTCAAGGCAAGCGAGAGCCTATAAGCACTTTCTGAATATGACAGAGCACATGCTGGTGAGAGGAGACCGCACAGGCCAGGTGTTTGGGGAACAGTTTGTTAAAGCCAATGAATTTCGCAAATGTGCTAGATGATGAAGAGTTCTCAGCTTTCCCGGTTGCAGTGATCAGAACTCTGTAACTGGAGACCGGTGTGAGAGAAGATTTTATTCTCTGCCATCATGACCGGGTCTATACGACTGCAGGCAATTGCACAGAAGACTAGAAATGCTGATTCAGTTGGTCAGTTTGGGGTGGGACATCTTACCAGTCCAGCAGAACCAACTCTGGCTTGGGTTTTTCTAGCTGGTGACAGGTGACCAACTCATTCTGATGAGTTGATTACGCCTGTGGACGTGGCCCACTTGATTTATTTTTTCTCCCTCTGTTAGCTGTGCTCTCCCAACCACCTGATAAATGGACCCAGTATGATTATTTCTGAGCCATCTTATCTCTCTCACTTTTAAAGCTTGGATTGGGTTTGCTTTTAGAGCTTTTGATCTCTTATCTCTTGGTTCTTGGACTTGCTTTGATACCAAACAGCCCTCATAGTCTTTTGAAAGAACACCTTAAAAATTCCTAGGCTGGGCGCGGTGGCTCATGCCTGTAGTCCTAGCACTTTGGGAGGCCGAGACAGGACAAATATTTGAGCTCTGGAGTTTGAGACCAGCCTGGGCAACAGAGTGAGACTCTGTCTCTACAGAAAGTTTTAAAATTAGCCAGGTGTAGTGACACATGCTTGTAGTCCCCATTACTTGGAAGGCCAAGGCGGGAGGATGGCTTGAGCCTGGGAGGTCAAGGCATCAGTGAGCGATGGTTGTGCCACTGCCTGGAGATAGAGTGAGACCCTGTCTCAAAAAAGAAAGAAAGAAAGAAAGAAAAATCCCTAAGACCTGACCTGCCTACTCCCTAGAAAGCACCAAATAAGGAAAAGCACTCCGGAAGAATGAAGCTAAGAAGGCTGTGCTCTCTGAGGCATCCGGGCAGCCTTCACTGGAGGGACAAGGTCCAGGTAGGTGGGATGACAAGCTGGGAAGGGGCCCTGAACCAGAGGCAGGTGATGTGGGTGGTGGCACCAGAGAGACACCAGACAGTGTTACCGTAGGTCTTGACTGTCCACCTTCATTCCTGAAGTTGATCCAGCTTTCTTACTGTCACGTAGGTGGATATAAAATCGATCTTTAGGGTTCTGATTTTTTGTTTGTTTTTGTTTTTTTTGAGACGGAGTCTCACTCTGTCACCCAGGCTGGAGTGCAGTGGCACAATCTTGGCTCACTGCAACCTCCACCTCCCAGGTTCAAGCGATTCTCGTGCCTCAGCCTCCTGTGTAGCTGGATGTACAGGCGCCCGCCACCATGCCAGGCTAATTTTTGTATTTTTAGTACAGACGGGGTTTCACCATGTTGGTCAGGCTGGTCTCGAACTCCTGACCTCAAGTGATCCGCCTGCCTTGGCCTCCCAAAGTGCTGGGATTACAGGCATGAGCCACTGCGCCCGGCCGGGGATCTGAGTTTTAATCACTCCCAGTGCAAGCGTCCTTATCTGGTTTGCAGACTGAGTGGCATTTGTGCTGCCGAGGCTCTTCCTGGCTTGCCCTCCTCTCTGGCTGTTGCTTTCCCTCCTCTGTTCATTAGAGCCTCCTCTCCTCGGCTTGTTGCTCCTATGTGCTGTGACCTAAGCTCTATGCTCCTTCTTCTACATTAGGGTTCATAGCCCAGGACTTTGGGGAGTCTGTGGATGTCCAAATTGAGTGTTTTACCTCAATTTGGTTGAGGTTGCAGTGAGCCGAGATTGAGCCATTGCACTCCAGCCTGGGCAACAAGAGTGAAACTCTGTCTCAAAAAATTGTATTTCTGGCCGGGCGCGGTGGCTCACGCCTGTAATCCCAGCACTTTGGGAGGCCGAGGCAGACGAATCACGAGGTCAGGGGATCGAGACCATCCTGGCTAGTACGGTGAAACCCCCGTCTCTACTAAAAATACAAAAAATTAGCTGGGCGTGGTGGCGGGCGCCTGTAGTCCCAGCTACTCAGGAGGCTGAGGCAGGAGAATGGCGTGAACCCGGGAGGAGCTTGCAGTGAGCGGAGATCGTGCCACTGCACTCCAGCCTGGGCGACAGAGCGAGACTCCATCTCAAAAAAAAAAAAAACATATATTTCTTTGATGTTTACTGGCTGGCATTCTTCTGTAAAGAAAGTCTTTCCCTCCCTCCAACTCAGTTTTTGAGTGTTCCTGGAGGCCCATGGATTTTTTTTTTTAATTCAATGTGTTGTAATCGCTTACTGTTATAATTTTTTTTGATGCTCAAACTGTTCAGAGGGAGAAGACAGCTCTTGTGTCTTTTTGCCATATTCCCATGGTTCTTTGAGCATTTTATTTTCTTTTACTTTTTTGAGACAGAGTCTCACTCTGTTGCCCAGGCTGGAGTGCAGTGGCGTGATCTCAGCTCACTACAACCTCCACCTCCCAGGTTCAAGCGATTCTCGTGCCTCAGCCTCCTGAGTAGCTGGAACTACAGGCATAAGCCACCACGCCTGGCTAATTTTTATATTTTTAGTAGAGACGGGGTTTCACCATGTTGGCCAGGCTGGTCTTGAACTCCTGACCTCAGGTGATCTGCCCACCTCGGCCTCCCAAAGTGCTGGGATTACAGGCGTGAGCCACCGTGCCCGGCCTTTGGGCACATTCTTGCTTTCTGGCACAAGGCGCTCCAGACTGACCTTTTACTTTCCTTGCCCCAACTGTGGAATCAGTCATTTATTCAGATCCTGGTCTCTTGTGGTGGAGAATTTTTATTTCCCAATGAAGGTCCAGGGACTTGGTGTGCCGGTTTTGCTGGGTGTCCTGCTTCTAGGCCCTTGCAGTGAACAGAGCTAAGATGTTTTAGAAGAGCCTGCAAGTATACTGAAACCTCCAGCTTCAATTCAGCACCACAGGCCTCATCTGTACATTAGTCCCTATTTTTCCTTTTTTCAAACCATCCTGATTCCCAACAATTTCAATACACTTACGGATTTCTTCTGTACCGCAATGTCCAAATTCTGAAACAGTAGTTTCCGAATTCTTAAACTGATGTCACTGCCAACAACAAACCCACCAAGTAAGGTTTGGGATTTCCCTTCAGCCCCTTTCCCCACCTTTGGGTATATTCCCTAAGGGTGCACAGGGTGCTGGATTCAAAAGTTACTTGAGGCTGGGCACGGTGGCTCACGCCTGTAATCCCAGCACTCTGGGAGGCCGAGGCAGGCGGATCACTTGAGGCCAGGAGTTCAAGACCAGCCTGGCCAACATAGCGAAACCCTGTCTCTACTAAAAATACAAAAATTAGCCGGGCATGGTGGTACATGCCTGTAATCCCAGCTACTAGGGAGGCTGAGGCAGGAGAATTGCTTGAACCAGGACCTGGGAGGCGGAGGTTGCAGTGAGCCAAGACCACGCCACTGCACTCCAGCACACGAAGTGACAGAGTGAGACCCTGTTTCAAAAAAAAAAAAAAAGAAATAAAAGTTACTTGAATTATTTTCTCTTGGAAACCATGTTATGAATTTGATATGCATGAGGTTGACTTGATTCTGTTTGTATTCAATTAAAGGTTTGTTTCCATCATTTTTATTTTCTTTTTTTGACTATGTAAATACTTCACCTAGGTCAAAAGTCAAAACTCTACAAAAAGGTATATTCCCATTCCCATTCCTCCATCTGTTCCCACCCTTAGTCTCTGTTTTCTCCTCCTTGCCTGTCTTCTCCCTTCCTCCTTTTCTTTTTACCTTCCTTCCACAACAATAAGCAGGTATATATCTATCATTTCACAGAGATCCTTCTCGTCCTTTTTTTCTTTTTCTTTTTCTTTTTTTGAGATGGAGACTTGCTCTGGAGTGCAGTGGTGCAATCTCAGCTCACTGCAACCTCCACCTCTTAGGTTCAAGCGATTCTCCTGCCTCAGCCTCCCAAGTAGCTGGGACCACAGACACCCGCCACCACGCCTGGCTAATTTTTGTATTTTTGATAGAGACGGGGTTTCACCATGTTGGCCAGGCTGGTCTCGAACTCCTGACCTCAGATGATCCGCCTGCCTTGGCCTCCCAGGGAAGTGCTGGGATTACAGGTGTGAGCCACTGCGCCCGGCTGATCCTCCTCCTCTTTAAAAAAGCCCTGCATAGGCCAGGCACGGTGGCTCATGATGCCTGTAATCTTAGCACTTTGGGAGGCCGAGGTGGGTGGATTAACTGAGCTCAGGAGTTCGAAACCACTCTGGGTAACACGGTGAAACCCCGTCTCTACTAAAATACAAAAAATTAGCTGGGTGTGGCAGTGTGCGCCTGTAATCCCAGCTACTTGGGAGGCTGAGACAGGAGAGTCGCTTGAACCCTGGAGGCGAAGGTTGCAGTGAGCCGAGATAGCACCATTGCACTCCAGCCTGGGCAACAGAGCAAGACTCCATCTCAAAAAAAAAAATGCCTGTATAGCCCTCCACTGTGCTAGCTGATCACTTGTTCAGCCCATCTCCGAGGCAGGGATATCTTGGGTTTTTTTCCAGTATTTTGCTATTACAAACAGGACTGCGGTGAGCAGCCTTGGGTGTATGCTGTTTTGCATTTGTGAGGGTGGATCTTCAGGGTTAGTTCCCAGGATTGAGATTGCTGGGTTCAAGGGTAAATGCATATTTTGTTAGACATTGCCCAAATCTCCTCTGTTTTGCAGTCTCACCAGACACATGAGAATGCTTGCTTTTCCCCAACAGCGAGTGCTGTCAGGTTTTTGAATTTTTAGGAGACAGATGGTTTCAGTGTAGTTTAAATGTGAATTTCTCTTATGAGTGAAGATGAGCATATTTTCATGTTTACAGGAGACTTGTATATCTTGTTCTAAGAACTCTTCTGTCTTTATTCATTTTTCTATTTTTTCACTTGATTTTTTCTTTTAAGACAAAGTTTCGCTCTCGTCACCCAGGCTGGAGTGCAATGGCACGATCTTAGCTCACCGCAACCTCCACCTCCCGGGTTCAAGCAATTCTCCTGCCTCAGCCTCCTGAGTAGCTGGGATTACAGGCATGCGCCACCACACCCGGCTAATTTTGGTACTTTTTTGGTAGAGACGGGGTTTCTCCATGTTGGCCAGGCTGGTCTCGAACTCCCGACCTCAGGTGATCCACCCGCCTTGGCCTCCCAAAGTGCTGGGATTACAGGCGTGAGCCACTGTGTCTGGCTTTTTCACTTGATTTTTAAGAACGTGTGTGTGTGTGCGCGCATGTGTGTGTGTGTCAGAGTCTCACTCCCATTGCCCAGGCTGGAGTGCAGTGGCATGATCTCGGCTCTCAGCCTCTTCCTCCTGGTTTCAAGCGGTTCTCCTGCCTCGGCCTCCCAAGTAGCTGGGATTACAGGTGTGCACCACCACGCCCAGCTAATTTTTGTATTTTCTGTAGAGACGGGGTTTCACCATGTTGGCCAAGCTGGTCTCAAACTCCTGACCTCAAGTGATCCGCCTGCCTCAGCCTCCCAAAGTGTTGGGATTGTAGGCGTGAGCCACCACACCCAGCCAATAACTTTTTCTATATTAGAAAGATTTCTGGGCTGGGCACAGTGACTCACATCTGTAATCTCAGCAATTTGGGAGGCCAAGCTGGGAGGATTGCTTGAGTCCAGGAGTTCAAGACCAGCCTGGGCAACATAGTGAGACCCCCCCCATCTCTATAAAAAGTTTAAAAATTAGCCAAGCATAGTGGTATGCACCTGTAGTCCTAGCTACTCTGGAGGCTGAGGCAGAAGGATTGCTTCAGCCCGGGAGGGCAAGGCTGCAGTGAGCTGTAATTGCCCATTGCACTCCAGCCTGGGTAACAAAGTGAGACCCTGTCTCAAAAAAATAAATAAATAAAAGATTTCTGTATCTCTCTATCCCAGCTCTCTCCACCCACTCTGCCTGTAACCTGACCTAGCTCATGTCACTTCTCACTTGGATTAGAACAACTACCTCCTAAAACTGGTTTCCAGGCCTCACTCTTGTCCTTCTCTAATCCATTGTCCATATTGGAACTAGAATGATCTTAAAATGCACATCTGATCATGTCACCACCTCCAGTGACTGGATTCCTGTTGTCCTTGGGATAAGCAGTTTCTTAGCGGAGCACTGGGGACCACCTCCCCTGGCCGTGTGCTCTGTCCTCTTTTGCCTTCACAGCTTCTTTTCGAAGAGCTGTATGTGGTAACAGAACGAGGGGCTTTGTGAAATTACGCTGGCAGCAGAAATGAGCAGACCTGGTTTCTTAGGTCAGCTACATTGTCTCATTGTCTAAACACCATTTCCTTGGTGAGGCTTCATCAACATCCCACCATCATCTCTGTTCCCGGGGCACCGTGAACTTCATCCTGTCACTCACAGCTCCTGTTTTATCACTAGACTATAAGCTCCCTGAGGGCAGAGCATGCGCCTGCTTCCCTACTGGATCTAGCAGGTGCTCCAGCAGTACTTTTTTTTTTTTTTTTTTTTTTTGAGACGGAGTCTCACTCTGTCGACCAGGCTGGAGTGCAGTGGTGCGATCTCAGCTCACTGAGATCGGCAAGCTCCGCCTCCCGGGTTCACACCATTCTCCTGCCTCAGCCTCCCAAGTAGCTGGGACTACAGGTGCCCGCCACCACGCCCAGCTAACTTTTTTGTATTTTTAGTAGAGACAGGGTTTCACCTGTTAGCCAGGATGCTCTCAATCTCCTGACCTCGTGATCCGCCCGCCTTGGCCTCCCAAAGTGCTAGGATTATAGGCGTGAACCGCCGCACCTGGCCTCCATCAGTATTTCTTAATGGATGGCTTGTACTGTGGAGTCGACAGGTTGTTTGGTGCCAAGTAAATACAGGAGGAATGGAATGAAAGAATGAGTGGTTCAGCCCAAGCTCCTCAAGGTTAAGTGCTTACTTTCAGAATTAATCAGGTGCCATTGAATTTCTTTCCAGTGGGACCTTCTTACTCAAGATGGCTTCAATTCCAATCACCAGAGAGTTTTGAGAACCAGTGGGAGGGGTTCCTGGGCAGCGGGGCTCTGCTCCTACCGGGATTTGTTTATTCAGCTGATGTTAATAAATGAAGCTGAAGGTAACAAGCTGTCACTTAGCATCTCCAGGCTGGACCAGAACTGCCATTGGTTAAGTTTCAGACTTCAGCCCCAAAGTACAGTGTCACCACCTTGGATGAAGGATATTAATTAGTGTCATGAGGGAGATCACAGTCTCATTCCCCTCCGTCACTAGCACGAGACTGAAAAAAAAAAAGAAAATCAAATTCAGTTAGAACAGAGACGTGCTGAGAAGCTGGGCCAGAGACCCCGCGGGGAACCTGCCGTTGTTTGTCAAAAAACGAGGCCAGCGAGGAAGAAGCCAACCATGCCTCCCGCTCCACTCGCTTTGGAACCCACAGAATGTTCAACAGGGCAGCACCTTTCAGTTATTAAGACACTCAGATTCCACCCTGGTGCAGTGAAGCAAACTGGATTAACCACGCGGCACGTGGCAGAGCCACAGCGCAAACCACGGCTCCTGCTGCTGAGGAAAATACAGGCACCTCGGCCACTCTGGGCTGTGGGTTCGACGTGAGCAGCCTCAGGGCAGAGACGGATTCTGTTCATGTCTGTCCCCTCTGCCATCCCAGGTCTCAGGGGTTCTGTTCACCTGACCATGGCAGAGTTGTTTTGCCCACCTGTGAAAACCACTCCAACCATCATGGTTACCATTGCATTGCATGTTGGCAAATTTGGGGAACATCACCTTCCAGGCCACTTACAGCACTCGAATAAGGGCTTTGACAAAACACAAGCGTTATTATGAATATAATAATAATCAGCGTTAGTTGGCTGTCCTGGTGGTTTCTGGTCTGCAGAGGGTTAACAATGATGACAATAACGTTGCCTCCCGGGCTGAGTTTCTCATCTGCTCTATCAGGCCCACCCCCTACTCCGGACTGATTCTCCACATCCCAGATTCATGTCCCCCACCCCCACCACACCAAGGGCAAGAGAAAAACCCGAAGTTCTGCTCAGAACCTTGTCCCCTGCCCCCTACTCCCCTCACTGCAGTTTTCCTGTTAGCCAAGGAATTTCATTCCACAGATCTGTTTGCTTCTTTCTGTTGCTTTAGCCAGCAGGCTTACCCTGACCTGAGAAGGGTGACTAAGGGGAAATGGAGTATTTTCAGCCAGGGGCCATCACAGTTGCTGTATCAAGTATCTTTTCCAGGCAATGGATTTCATGATAGGCGTATCTTTATTCGGGAAAATTAACACACTTAATTTAGAGGGATGGACTTCCCTTCCAGGAACGTTGCCCCCCTCATCTGTCCCCCATGCCACCTGCCGGATCATCTACAGTGACAGCAACCACCATTTTTATCCTGGAGACACCATTAAACCTAAGCCAGGAGGTCTGGCTTGTAGTCTGCACTCCACTTTTGATGAACACGGGAACTCACAGAGCCAGTTTGCTCCTTTGCAATGGGCATGAGACCGGGAGGATCGGGGAGGGGGTTACTGAGCACCTGAGACTCGGGGAGCTGCAGTGGTCCTTGGTGGGAGATCCACAAGGTGAACTGATCGTGTGAATCCGAGCACTCTTTGGAGCCAGAGACACCAAGGAGAAGGCACAGAGGGGAAAGGGGACTGGGCTGGAGTATTTCCTAAAATTGTACTTGCCAGGCCGGGCGCGTTGGCTCACGCCTGTAATCCCAGCACTTTGGGAGGCCGAGGCGGTGGCTCACCTGAGGTCAGGAGTTTGAGACCAGCCTGGCCAACATGGTGAAACCCCGTCTTGACTAAAAATGCAAAAAAATTAGCCGGGCGTGGTGGCACATGCCTATAATCCCAGCTACTCAGGAGGCTGAGGCAGGAGAATCTCTTGAACCCAGAAGGCAGAGGTTGCAGTGAGGTGAGATCGCGCCATTGCACTACAGCCTGGGTGACAAGAGCAAAACTCCGTCACACACACAGACACACAAAAATTGCGTTTGCTATAGGGATGGGGCTATTTTTTATTTTTTAACTTTTTAAATTTTTGTGGGTTTTTTTTTTTTTTTTGAGATGGAGTTTTGCTCATGTCACCCAGGCTGGAGTGCAATGGCACAACCTAGGCTCACTGCAACCTCCGCCTCCCGGGTTCAAGTGATTCTCCTGCCTCGGTCTCCCAAGTAGCTGGGATTACAGGCACCCACGACCAAACCCGGCTAATTTTTTTGTATTTTTAGTAGAGATGGGGTGTCACCATGTTGGATAGGCTGGTCTTCAGCTCCTGACCTCAGATAATCCACCTGCCTCGGCCTCCCAAAGTGCTGGGATTACAGGCGTGAGCCACCACGCCTGGCCTTAATTTTTATTTTTTAACAGACAAGGTCTAGTTCTGTAGCCCAGACTGGAGAGCAGTGGTTCAATCACAGCTCACTGCAGCCTCGAACTCCTGGTCTCAAGCAATCCTCTCACTGTAGCCTCCAGAGTAGCTGGGATTACAGATGCTCACCACCATGCCCAGCAAATTATTTATTTTTATTTATTTATTTATTTATTTTGAGACAGAGTCTCGCTCTGTCACCCAGGCTGGAGTGCAGTGGCACAGTCTCACTGCAAGCTATGCCTCCCGGGTTCACGCCATTCTCCTGCCTCAGCCTCCTGAGTAGCTGGGACTACAGGCACCCCCCCACCACACCCGGCTAATTTTTTGTATTTTTTTTCACTAGAGATGGGGTTCCACTGTGTTGGCCAGGATGGTCTCGATCTCCTGACCTCGTGATCCACCCGCCTCGGCCTCCCAAAGTGCCGGGATTACAGGCGTGAGCCCCGGCGCCCGGCCTAATTTTTATTTTTTAGAGATGGGATCTCACTATGTTGCCCAGACTGGGGGCATTTTTTTTCTCTCATTTTTAAAAATTTTGAGTTAAAAAAAACTTTTTTTTTTTACATAAAAGATATATGGAACACTTCATGAATTCACGTATCACCTTTGCTCAGGGGCTGTGCTAATCTCGGCATCATTCCAATTCTAGCATATGTGCTGCTGAAGTGAGCACTATTCTATCATTTTTAACATCAATTTTATAGAAATGAAATTTACATCCTTTTAAAACAGTTATTTTACCAAGTAATACATGTACACAAATTAAAAAGTCAAATGGAGGCCAGGGACAGTGGCTCATGCCTGTAATCCCAGCACTTTGGGAAGCTGAGAGGGGAGGATCACCTGAGGTCAGGAGTTGGAGACCAGCCTGGCCAGCAGGGTGAAACACCATCTCTACTGAAAACACAAAAATTAGCCGGGCGTGGTGGCGTGGGCCTGTGGTCCCAGCTACTCAGGAGACGGAGGCATGACAATCGCTTGAACCCTGGAGGTGGAAGTTGCAGAGAGCTGAGATTGCACTACTGCACTCCAGCCTGGGCAACAGAGTGAGACCCCGTCTCAAAAAAAAAAAAAAAGTCAAATGGTACTAAAAGCCATATTGAAAAACACTGGCTGGGTGCGGTGGCTGATGCCTGTAATCCCAGCACTTTGGGAGGCCAAGGCGGGCGGATCACAAGGTCAGGAGTTCGAGACCAGCCTGGCCAATATGGTGAAACCCCCACGTCTACTAAAAATACAAAAATTAGCTGAGCGTGGTGGGGGGTGCCTGTAGTCCCAGCTACTCGGGAGGCTGAGGCAGGAAAATAGCTTGAACCTGGGAGACGGAGGTTGCAGTGAGCCTAGGTCGTGCCACTGCATTCCAGCCTGGGCAACAGAGCGAGACTCTGTCAAAAAAAAAAGAAGAGAAAGAAAGAAAGAGAGAGAGAGAGAGGGAGGGAGGCAGGGAGGGAAGAAAGAGAGAGAGAAAGAAAGAAAGAAAAGAAAGAAAGAGAAAGAAAAAGAGAGAGAAAGAACAAAGAAAGAAAAGAAAGAGAAAAAAGAAAGAAAGAAGGAAGGAGAGAGAAAGAGAGAAAGGAAAGAAAGAAAGAAAGAAGAAAGAGAAAGAAATAAAAAAGAAAGAAAGAAGGAAGGAAGGAAGGAGAGAGAAAGAAAGAGAGAAAGAAAGAAAAGAAAGCAAGAAAGAAGAAAGAAAGAAAAACACTAACCCCCTTCCCCCACCATCCCGCTCACCCCGTCTTACTCCTGGGAAGGAACCATCCTTATCTCTTCTATGTATTTCGCTTTGTATTTCTCCCCAGATTTCTGACATTGTCCTACTCTTCTTTCTTGATCCTTTCTTTGTAGGTGCCCATTGATTTCCCACTGTGGGGGCTGGGAACTGGGCCCTGTCCCACTGTGACCCCATCACTTCCTCTGCTCAGTCCTCCCACAATGTGGTCATATCACAACTTTGGTTAAATTGATAGTGTTTTTATTTTAATCACTATGCAAATAATATTCAACTCAAAATGTTCCTCAACTCTTACGGTCTCCCCAAAACCTGCAGAGGTGGTTTTAAAACATATCTGCAGATTCTCGGACTCTCCTCTCATCAAGACAGGGAATCTGATTCCCTCCCGCCTTGCACATGGTGGCTGAACTCTAAGGAACACAGTGCCGCTGAAGTGACGCTGTGTTGCTTCTGACGCAGGTCTCACAGCACGATACAACTTCCCTCTCATTTTAGGACCTGAGCCTTTGGAGCCCTGGACTACCATGCAGGAAGCCACCAGCCACCATGCTGGAGAGATCATGTGCAGAGACCACGTAGAGAGAGGCCCAAGGAGCCCCTCCTAGTCCATCCTTGAGCTCTAAGTGTCTTCTAGTAGACGCACCAGACATGTGAGCGAGGAGGCCTTTGAGATGACTCTAGCCCCAACCACCGAGTGAGACCTGCCTATCTGAGCCCAGTCAACTGCCAGGGTCACCAGAGCTGATAATAATCAATGATTGTTGTTTTATGTCTGTAAATTGACGTTGGTTCAGTAACAGGTGATGGGAACATTGTTCCAACTGTGGTCTCCTCATCTCATTTGACTGCAGCTTCATCCCTCCAGCTGCTCAGGCCATCTTTGATTTCTCTCTTTCTTTCATACCTCGCATTCTGTATGTCAAGGAATATTTGGCTCTGCCTTCAAAATATCCAGAATCCAATCACTTCTCACCACCTCCAATGCTTCCACCCTGGTCCAAGCCACCATCATCCAATGGGGCCATCAGTATGGTCTTTCCCCTGGATCACTGCAGTGGCCTTCTGACTGCAATAGCATCCTACTTCCACCTAGTCCCTCCTACCATTTATTCTCAACACATAGGCAGAATTATTCTGCCAACATGTAAGTCAGATCATGTCACTCTTCGGCACAAAACACTGCAGCAGCTCCCATCTTGCTTACAGTCAATGCCCGAGTCCTCACAATGTCCTGACCCTTCTTGTCTCTCTGACCTCACTGCCTAGTCTCCTGCCCCTCTCCAGTTCTGCCGCAGCCCCACTCTTCTTGTTAGTCCCTGAATGCATTAGGCTCACTTCTACTTTAGGCCCTTTGCATGAGCCATACTCTTCATTTATTCCTGGAATTTATCATTACTTTTTGTTTGTCATTTGCCTATTATTCTATGTGGCAATTGCTCATTTTTTCCCCAAGTGCTTTCATGTTTCTGGATACTATTTTCCGTATCCTCAAATGTGTCATTTTCTTTGATTCCTTGGGTGCCTCACTCCTGGTGCCTGCCATCCTGCTCCCCTCTGGACTGGTAGCTCTCTATCCACTATCATCCTGGCATTTCTCTTCAATGCTGTTCAGCATTGAATCCCATGACTTCTAGTTCCACATTATTTTTTTTAGTTTACTTTCTCATTTTGTGGGTGCACATCCTGCAGTAGCCACTTAAGAGAGGACATACATGTGAGGTAAAATTTGACTCCTTGCATGTCTGAGATGCTTTTATTCCACCTTCCTATTTCATTGATCATCTGGTTACAAGTATTCTCAGCTGAAAATCATTTTCACACAGAAGCTTGAAGGCATTGTTTTCTTTCAGTGTGGCTATTTAGAAGTCCAAGGCTGATACCTGATCTTTCGTATGTTTTTCTCTCTCAGGGAGCTTTAGAAGTCTATTCTTTATTCTGGGTATTCTGAAATTTGTGATGATGCACCTTGGGGTGGGCATTTAGTTGGGCCTCTCAATCTGGAGACTCACATCTTTCAATTTTGTGAAGTGGTATTATTTTTACTCTCACTCTCTCTCCTCTATTTTCTCTTTATAGAATTTCTATTAGCTGGAAATTGGACTTCCTAGAGTGGTCCTCATTCTTATATTTTTTCAATTATTATTATTTTTAAATCTCTGTTTATTTTTGTTCTACTTTATCTTCCACCAAACTTGCTTTTAAATATTTTATTCTTACTCTTCTTTTGAACAATTTCCAAAATTTCATTTTTGTTTTTTCATTAATTCCTTTAAAAGTAACATCCAAAATAGAGAATAAAGCATCTAACTCTTGTTTAATGGATATAACATCTTACTTTACTTTTCTGAAGAAATTATCAGATTTTTTTTTCATTTTTTTTCTACTCCTTCCATCGTCTCTGCTTTCTCCAAATTCCTTTATCCTATTTGTCTGGATCCGTCTCTTCCAAGCTGGAGGCTGTCTTTAAACATTAGGTGATCCTGGGCTGCCTGTTCTTGTCTAAGTGTGACTCACTAAACACAGGAGTGGGAACTCTGAGTGAGTGGGTGAGGCTTGTCCATAGAAGGACTTACAACAAGGTCATTGGATAGCAAACTGGCTTCTTTCTTTTCTTTTTCTTTCTTTCTTTCCTTCCTTCTTTCTTCTTTCTTTTCTTTCTCTCTTTCTCCTTCCTTCCTTCTTTCTTTCTTTCATTCTTTCTTTCTTTCTTTTTATGGGATTTTGCTCTTGTTGCCCAGGCTGGAATGCAATGGTGCAATCTCGGCTCACTGCAACCTCTGCCTCCCCGGTTGAAGTGATTCTCCTGCCTCAGCCTCCTGAGTAGCTGGGATTACAAGCAGGTGCCACCAGGCCTGGCTAATTTTGGTTCTTTTTTTTTTTTTTTTGGTAGAAATGGGGCTTCACCATGTTGGTAAAGCTGGTTGGTAAAGCTGACCTCAGGTGATCCACCTGCCTTGGCCTCCCAAAGTGCTGGGATTACAGGGGTGAGCCACTGCGCCCAGCCCAAACTGGCTTTCAAATTGGGGCAGGACTCCAAGATGTCAGAATGTGGAGGTCTTTTCTCTGGAGCCATTCAGTTATCCAGAGACAATGTGTCAAATCTCCTACTGGCAGTGGGGGTGGGGAGGCAAGCAATGGGTGTAGGAGAGAGCTGGGGTGCACCTGCTGTAGGAGGAGGAAGGGGGTCCATCCTCCCCCTATACAGGCCACGTAGCCCCCCTGTTTTTAGTCCCATGCCTCATGTCCACCTTCTGTAGATTTGGATCTCCCCGTCCTCAGCACCTAGAGTTCTACAAGACCACCCCGCTTCTGCTTATTAGTTTCCTCATCTGCAGGGAGCCAGGTAGTGATCCCCAGCTCTGCCATGTCAGCTCCTGCTCCTCTCCCTTTTCCAGATATTTGTGGGACTCTCTCATCCATGTTCATCTCTTCCCTCATTTTATCTCCTTATGAGTTTATATATTCTTGATTCCTTTATTGCCATTTCAGTGGAGTTTTGGAAGGGGGAAGTGAGCAATCTGCCATGCTTACTCAGAAGTGGGCTGCACTTTAAAAACAAAGTTGGCTGCATTGCTCAAAGATGAGGGAGGGTTTAGGAAAACCAATTCGTGTGCAAGACATGCTTTCTCATGCATATATGTACGCAGGCCTTACATGATGAAACTCCTGTGAGAGGGGCCAGCCTGTGAAATTCCCAGATAGTGAACATAAGCCCCACCTCACTGAATTGCTATGAGGACTAAATGAGCTAACACAAGTAAAATGCTTAGCACAGGGCCTGGCATTTGAATTCTCAAGGGATAGCAGTGATGATTATTCGGATAGTTTTGGGATGAACTTGACTAAGGGCTCTGGGGATTTAGGGGAACTTCTCTCTGTCCTCTTCTGTGGCCTGGAGGAGGAAGCACCTTCTGCAGGCTTCTCCTGGGAACCCCACCAGCTTGTGGATCTCAGAGCTCTTTGGAGTTTGAGAAGGCAATGGGGAAATCCCTCTGGTCTTGGCCACTCTGACACTGCATAATTGGCATAAATGGGGCATCCCAGCTCAGCCTGGAATGTTCTCGTTTCTTGGCATGAACCTGTCTTTTTGCAAACACAGTCACTTTGCGTCTGTCCCATCAGCCGTCTTCCAAAGGTTTCTTCTACCCAGTCCCGCCATACACATCGTTTTCAATATTAAAGTCACTCTTTAATTTGTAACAAAGAGATATGGGTTCTAGTTCTGTCTTTGCCACCAATTGCCTAGAAATAGCTCAAACTTGGGATCTAGATTTGATCTGCCCGGTTTGAATCCCGACTTTGCATCTGCCATCGATGAGCCGTGCGTGTCCCACGGGCAAACACTCAGTCCTCTATGGGCCTTGGTTTAATGAAGATAATAATAGTTCCTAACTCATAGAGCTATCATGGGGCTGAAAGAAATAATCCATGTAAAGCGCCCAGCCTGGTACTCAGAGTTCAGATAAAGCTGGCTGTAAGGATTACTATCTTTCCCAATTTAAACTCTCCCGCAAACTTCGTAGCTCCAGGCACAACTGGAGGTGAGGACTCAGGCATATAAAGCTTTTCCAGGGGCTGAGGCAGAGGAAATGTGATCTCCTGGATTTTGTTTGTAGCTTCTACTAGACCACATAGCAACCGAGCAACATAGCAACGAACGAAAGCAATTCCATTTAATTCCAAGTCAAGCAACTTACTTTTTCAAAAGTATGTCATTCCTACTTGAAAAAACCAATCTTCCTGAGTAGTCATCATGTCATAGAGACAAACACTTTATGGTAAAAATGCGATTTGATTTTGTTTCTGCTCAAACAGGTTCTCATCACAATCTTTTGTTTGTTTGTTTGTTTGTTTGTTTTTTGAGACGGAGTATTGCTCTTGTTGCCCAGGCTGGAGTGCAGTGGCGCGATCTCCGCTCACTGCAACCTCCGCCTCTGGGGTTCAAGCAATTCTCCTGCCTCAGTCTCCCCAGTAGCTGGGATTACAGGCATGCGCCACCAAGCCCGGCTAATTTTTTTGTATTTTTAGCAGAGACGGTGTTTCACCACGTTGGTCAGGCTGGTCTCAAACTCCCAACCTCAGGTGATCCTCCCGCCTCGGCCTCCCAGGGTGCTGAGATTACAGGTGTGAGCCACCGCGCCCGGTGCTCATCACAAATTTTAAAACTGTTCACAAATGTTTTCCTCTGCTCTTCCGAGCCTACTGTTTTATAAACGAGTTACTATACTGCCCTCTCGTGGAACATAATGATTTCTGTGAGTCTAAGTCCGCTTGGATTTTTTTTTTTTTTCTTTTTGAGATGGAGTCTCACTCTGTCACCCAGGCTGGAGTGCAGTGGCACGATCTCAGCTCACTGCAACCTCCACCTCCCGGGTTCAAGTGATTCTCCTGCCTCAGCCTCCTGAGTAGCTGGGATTACAGGCACCTGCCACCATGCCCAGCTAATTTATGTATTTTTAGTAGAGATGGGGTTTCACCATGTTGACCAGGCTGGTCTTGAACTGCTAGCCTCAAGTGATCCACCCGCCTCGGCATCCCAAAGTGCTGGGATTACAGGCATGAGTCACTGCGCCCAGCCATCCTTGCTTAGATTTGAAATAGGACTCCCATTTATAATTTATCATTCATAGTATTAGGCTCATCGGAAAGTATGCTTTATCCACATATTTCACAAAACTCTTTTAAAAATTAATTATGATTTCATTTTCAGTTGTTCGAACTTGGATACTTTATGTTCACTGATTCTGTCTTCCTACAGCGATTCTAGCTGATGGGTATGTCAATTCTGCTCCTCGAGCTTCCTCTGGGTTCAGAGGGCTACTCATAAATTAGTCCACAGCAATTCAGGCATAGTGGGGACAGCAGGCCACAGGCCAATTGTTCTGCAGGGGTTGCGGTTAGAACTCAAGGAAACTGCCTGAAAGCCTCCTTTGTGCCAGCTCCTGTCCAGCCTCACCCTAGCTGGAGGTGCTGATGATCCTAAAGAGGATCACAACATGCCACCCCCAAAATATGCTACCTCGGCAAAAGAATAATTTGAGCTATAGACAATGAAGAAACAACAGATGCAGTAAAAGTTCTCTGTCCTCCCTTATCTGCCTAAATGCAGGACCTAAATTTTGCTTTGAGGAAGATGCCCCTCTGTACCCAGAAGAAAGAGAGTGACTCTTATCACCAGTGACAGGAGTTGCATTGAGAAGAGTCTACATAAACAAACAAATGGAAGAGAGATAACTGTTCTCGTCCATTAATTTCTCCCATATATTCCTAAACACTTTCTTACAGTTTATTACCCCGGAAGCCCAAACATTCTTTTCTTTATTCAGTCACTTCTCTATAACCTATCACCCTTTGCTCAAATAGTATATAATTTCTCAAGTCTAAACACTTATTGGAGTTTTCTACTTCTTTTTGTGAAGCTCCTGTACCCATAAAACATTAACATCCGTAAAATTTGTATCCTTTTTCTCTTGTTAATCTGTGTTCTGTCAGTTTAATTTGCAGGTCCCCAGCAATAGAACATAAGAGAATATGGGATAAAGGTTTCCTCCCCTCTAATCCCAGGTGTGGAGTTGGTCGGCGGAGGGGCAGGAGGAGGGTCAGCAGCCTTCATGCCCCTTTCCAGGAGAGCTTCTTGCAGTTGGTTCGGCTCTTGAAAGTTACTCACCTGCTTCAGCAACTGCAGCTGCTGTACCCGACAAATGGCAAAAGACAAGACACCAACCACACGAGATCCCAGTGCGCACATTACCTGCCTCATCTTGACTTTCAGGTGGCTTTATGTGCCTATGCAGTGTTGCAATGTTAATCCTCAAGGGTGAAATCCAAGCTGGTTTATCCGCAGAGCTACCAGGGCCAGTGGTGATGGTGAGCAACGAGGCACCAAATTTCTTCTCCTAAAATACAGAGGATCTGTTCAACACACTCGCAGTCACAGCACAAAAAGCTATTCTGTATTAGGTCAGCAAAGGAAACCAGTCCAAGTGCAAAGGCAATTTTAGATCTATGTCCTGTTTCCTGTGGAAACGCGAAACTAAAGGGAAGCTCACTGGTAGGACAGAGCGAGCACCCGTGAAGGTGCAGCCTTTTTTAAACTTAAGTTCTGATTCAGCGGCGGGTCCTGCGAATCCATCCTTTAACAAGCATCCCCTGCGGGAGGGGCTCTGATGCAGAGTGTAGGAGGGCTGCCTGTATTCCGAGAAACACTGGATGGTGTCTGCCACGATTCAATAGCAGACATTATTACAGTTATTGGGAGACAACAGGCTGTGCCAAATAGTAAAATAAGAATAAATATATTTACATTTCCCAGGGTTTGGCCCAATCAGACTGCTTGGCTCACATAAATGCCAGCACATAGATATTTGCAAACAATAAACATATGTTTAGCATCCTAAACTCTACTTTGAAATAAAACATTAAGGAAGTCATTATTTATGCAATTAGTAAGCCCATAATTAACACTGAAAACAACAATAATTAACATAATTTTTACTATGCAATACTAATTTTAAAATACCTTTCACAACTCAAGGGATCAGGCAGTTGTTCAAATTTTTGTAGAAGGCCTGGCTTACACCAGCATCCATGACCATCTTCCTTTCTTGGAAACTAGACCTTCAGATCTTATTAATGTGTTTGATAATTTCATCATAAAGAGCAAATACAAATGCGATGTGCAGACATACTCTGCCATAGTGCGAAATCGTTCTTTGTAAAAGTTTGTTCAATACAAACTTTATATGAAAAAAAATTGCCCTTCAAGAAAAAAAAAAAAAGCCCTCAAAAGTTTTTCATGGAAGCCCCTGGTATTTGCATTGGGAAATATGATCCAGTTGAAACATATATTTTTAATTTTTTTGCTCATTAACTTAAAAAAAGATTACTGAATGCCTATTTTGTTACAGATACTCTTCTCAGTGTGGGCCTAGCACCGTCCTTAAAGCAACCTTCAGTGAACATAATATATAGATATATAGATATATAGATATTTTTTTTGAGATGGAGGGTCTCTCTTGTTACCCAGGCTGGAGTGCAATGGCACGATCTCAGCTCACCACAACCTCCACCTCTCGAGTTCAAGCAATTCTGCCTCAGCCTCCCGAGTAGCTGGGATTACAGGCATGCACCACCATGCCCGCCTAATTTTGTATTTTTAGTAGAGATGGGGTTTCTCCACGTTGGTCAGGCTGGTCTTGAACTCCCGGCCTCAGGTGATCCGCCCGCCTTGGTCTCCCAAAGTGCTGGGATTACAGGCGTGAGCCACTGCCCCCAGCCAGGAAATATTATTTTTAAAGTCTGAAATCCAAAATTGCTTTCAAGGTGAATAAAAGGATTTTAAAAGATTGTAATGATTTTATTTCTGTGATGATCATTGAGTGTAAATTTTACATTCTCTATCAGGAAATCCATCTAAGACTTCAATAGAAGTGAAAAAATATATAGTTTTTTAGTCTGTGATTAAGGGGAACTATTTCATGGGATGAGAACTGATATAGGCCAGGCACGGTGGCTCACACCTGGAATCCCAGCACTTTGGGAGGCCGAGGCAGGCGGGTCACCTGAGGTTGAGAGTTCAAAACCAGCCTGGCCAACATGAAATCCCATCTCTACCAAAAATACAAAAAATTAGCTGGGTGTGGTGGCGGGCACCTGTAATCCCAGCTACACGGGAGGCTGAGGCAGGAGAACCCGGGAAGCAGAGGTATCAGTGAGCCAAGATTGCGCCACTGCACTACAGCCTGGGCAACAAAGTGAGACTCCGTCTTAAAAGAAAAATCAGACCAAACATTGCCAGTATGTCTTCTGTAGAATTAAACAGAACCAGAGGCAAGAAGCAACTTTATTCACATTATAAATGAAACACTTTTGTTTTGTGTATACCGTTAGTTTGTTTTAAAATACTCACAGATGATCACATTAAGAAATAAAGGCCGGGTGCGGTGGCTCATGCCTGTAATCCCAGTACTTTGGGAGGCCAAGGCGGGTGGATCACCTGAGGTCAGAAGTTCGAGACCAACTTGGCCAACACAGTGAACCCTTGTCTCTACTAAAAATACAAAAAAATTAGCCGGGCATGGTGGTGGGCACCTGTAATCCCAGCTACTTGGGAGGCTGAGGCAGGAGAATTGCTTGAACCCAGGAGACGGAGGTTGCAGTGAGCTGAGATCGCACCACTGCACTCCAGCCTGGGTGGCAGAGCAAGACTCCGTCTCAAAAAAAAAAAAAAAAAAAAGAAAGAAAATTTCCAAGTTTATTTTCCCCAAATTGTAACATGATACAGAAGTTGAAGTTCATTGAATCCGTTGTTGTACTCATTATGATAATAATGAAATGTTTAGTCTTCTTCCAGTTAATTATATTAACTTGCAGCTTGCCAACTGGTGAACGGCAGATGGGTTAAGACACGGATGCCTCAGGCTGAAGTCCTAAGGCCACGTATCTCCAGCCAGGAGCAGCTTCTTCAGTTCAACCAGCTGACTTTTGTTTCATATTTTCTGCTTGAGCCTTGAAATGAAAATCTTCAAAGTCAAACATTCTTAGGACTCACTATGTTAATGGTTTCCTTTGTAGTGTGTCTGGTTTCAGGACACAAATTAAATCCTATCCAGTTAGAAGACAATTTTTTTTTAATTTTAAAAAATTTTTAGGCCGGGCAGGGCGGCTCACACCTGTAATCCCAGCACTTTGGGAGGCCGAGGCGGGTGGATCACCTGAGGTCAGGAGTTCGAAACCAGCCTGGCCAACATGGCGAAACCCCATCTCTACTAAAAATACAAAATATTAGTTGGGCGTGGTGGCAGGCGCCTGTAATCCCAGCTACTTGGGCGGCTGAGGCAGGAGAATTGTTTGAACCTGGGAGGCGAAGGTTGCAGCGAGCCAAGATCGCGCCATTGCACTCCAGCCTGGGCAGCAAGAGCAAGATTCTGTCTCAATAAAAATAAAAAATTTTTAATTCTTTACCACATCAAGCATATGAACCCAGAAAAATTTTTTGATGCTCTATATTCTTTTGCCAATATTTTATTTAAAATAGTTCAGTCCTAGTTCTTTTCCATCTTTAGCGTAAAACAACTTTTTATTATTGTTAAACTCAATTTGGGTTCAAAATCCTATTTCCAGCCTAGGCAACATAGTGAGGCCCCGTCTCCACGAAAATAAAAAAATATTAGCTGGGCATGATGGCATGAGCCTGTAGTCCCAGCTACTCAGGAGGCTGAGGTGGGAGGATCATTTGAGCCCAGGACGCTGAGGCTGCAGTGAGCCGTGGTGATGGCACCACTGCACTCCAGCCTGGGTGTCAAAGTGAGACTCTGTCTTAACAACAACAAAAAAATCATATTTGATTCATAAAAGGTGTGGAGTAATATGTATTATATCCCCCTATTCTAGTCTTGAAATGATTTATATAATTGTGGCTATTTGCCATATAGATCTGAATGAAGAAAGAGGAAGAGAGAGAGGAAGGAAGATAGGAAAGGAGGAAGGAAGGAAAGAGGAGTAAGGTCCCAGGTGATGCCTCTAGAGTAAAATGTGTTCACTGGGTGCAGAGACCATGAAAAGGTGCCCCTCTAGGGAGGGTGGGACATGGGAAGAGGGTGGGACTTGGGAGGGCAGGGCTATAACCACGAAGGGGTCAGCTTGTGGCTTGGGTGATGGGGGCTGAAATAACCAAAGGGTGGCGACGCTTAGATGGCCACACTGTTTTCCACCACGCTGGGCCGCAGGTACTCGTAGGGCATGTCCAGCTTTGCATTCCGGATCTCAATTTCCTTATCCAGGGCAGCCAGCTCCTCCCTGAACTTCTTCAGCACAGCCTTAGGCTCAGGGCCCGAAAAATACTCCTCCTCATGCTGGCCCACAGCCACCTGGGAGGGAGAGGAAAAGGTGGCTGAGAGCCTTATGACCCCCAGTCTGGGATGCCACACGTCCCCACAGCTGCCTCCTTCCTTAGGGCCCTGGGCACTCAGCTCTCACCATAACGGGCTGGCGTCTGCCCAGCTGCCAAGTGATGGACATCTGGAGAGAAGCCTGGTGGAAGTTGGGCAGTGTCGCCATCACTGTCTCCAGCGTTGCATCCTTGGTGGTTGGCGGGGGCAGCCGCATCGTGCAGGGTGCATTAGGCACCCAAGAGTACCAGTCCAGCTAAGGAAGGGCAGGGATCCAGAGTCAGTGCCTACCAAGCACGCGAGCCCCGTGGTCCACCTGCACACAGACCCCTCCCTCACTCCAGGCCCCAAATTCCCAGCTGCCCATCTCTGGTAAGTACCTGGCCCAGGTGCACAGAGGCGTGTTGGCCGGTGCAGGTGAAGATACACATGGTGACAAAGTGGCAAACCTGGTCCCGAGCCTGTAAAGAGACAGGAAACCCTGCAAGGGGTGAAGAGAGTTAGAAGCTGCGAAGGCAGGAGTAGGGCAGCGCTCAGAGGAAGAGGCCAAGAGAGGAGAACAAGGGCGAGAAAGAGCGGCAGGAATGCTCAGTTAACTCTTACAGGAATTACCATGACAGCAGGTTGGGGTGGGGGAGTGGGGAGCTCTGCCGGGAGGGTCCCACTCAGTGGGGTGCTGCTGCTGACTCACACTGGCTCGCAAGAGTCAGTCCATGACGTTAGGTGTTTAGCAAGCTGGTCAGCATCACCTTGGTAGTCACAGTAAAAATATTTATACCATGGAAATGTGCAAAAGCTACAAATCAGGACGGTTCTTCCCGAGAGTCAGTTGTTAAACATTTATGAGCAGCCACTGGTCCCGCTGCATCTGGCACCTAGAGGTTCTCAGTGTGTAGGACGGGGACCTGTCTCTAGGTGACAGGGAGTGGAATCTGAGAAGGCCTCTGGAGTTCTCATAGGTGTTGAAAATGCTTCTGGGAGATTTCACAGAAGCACAGGGGATTCTGGGAAGATCTCTTGGGCTTTGTGTCTGAGATCTCAGGGCAGGGGCTCCTCTTACCTCGGTCCTGGGCCCCTTGCAGCCCGATTTCAGTGATCTCTCGACACCAGGTCTGCAGCTCTGGGTCGTCTTTCACAGCCACGTCTGTCTTATAGTGGAGACTCACGATTCCTTCCACATACCTACCAACCAACGGAGCAGGGCCAGGGAGCTGAAGCCAGCTCTGCCCCTGCTCACATGGCCAGGTCAGGGCCCCAGGCCCCCAACCAGACGCAGACCTCCTGCTCTCCTACATGTCTTCTCCACCCCCACTTGCACCCCCACTGGCCTTCCCGCTTGCCTCACCGATAGATGATTTCCCAGAGCCGCAGCGCATCTTGGGCATAGAAGGAAGACTTCACTCCCAGGAGCCCCCGGTCGGCCAAGTCATCAGGGGGACAGAAGGAGCTGTAGGTTAGGAAGGCTCCAGCTTGCTTGAGCAGCTGCACGTGGCCTCCCCCACCAGTGCTCATTATCTGAGAAGTGAGGGTGAGCAGGGTCAGGCGAATCGACCTGCCCTGAATCCAGAGCTGGAAAAAAGACAGACCCAGAATCTCCCTTTCTCTTCCCATACCTGGTCGAAAATTCCCATGTCAGAGACCAGCCCAGTCCTGGCCCGGACGTTAATTTCCAGGGTGTATCGCAGGTGGGGAATTATAAGCTAGAGGGAGAAACACAGGGAAGGGCAGAGTCAGAGGAGAGCTGCAAGATCCCTGCAGGAAACAAGGGCTGACAGCAGGAAAGGCACCAGGTCTTCAGAAAAAGCACAGACGTAAAGTTCAGTGGCCTCTCAACAGTGAGTTTTCAGAAGTACCATTCAACCCAGCAATCCCATTACTGGATATATACCTCCCAAAATATAAATCGCCTTACTATAAACACACATGCTCACGGATGTTCATCCAGCACTACTCACAATAGCAAAGATATGGAATCAACCTAAATGCCCATCAACAATAGACCAGGTAAAGAAAATGTGGTAGACATATGCTGTGGAATACTATGCAGCCATGAAGAAGAACAAGATCATGTTCTCTGCAGCAACATGGATGGAGCTGGAGGCCATAATCCTAAGTGCACTAACACTGGAACAGAAAGCCAAATATGGTATGTTCTTACTTATAAGTGAGAGCTAAACATTGAGTACACATGGACACAAATAAGGGAACAACAGACACCAGCATCTACTTGTGGACAGAGGGTGGAAGGAGTGAGGGGATCCAAAAACTACCTATGGGGTACCATGCTTATTACCTGGTGACAAAATAATCTGTACACCAAGCCCCATGACACACAATTTACTTACAGAACAAACCTGCCCATGTATCCTTGAACCTAAAATTAAAGTTAAAAATAAATACATAAAAATAAAACCACTGAGCTTTCAGTTGATTTGCATCAACTATTTCCATTCCACAAACCAGACTTAGTGCTTTATGATAATTGAAAGAAATCATTCTTTGTTGTTGTTGTTTTGTTTTGAGATGGAGTCTTGCTCTGTTTCCCAGGCTGAAGTACAGTGGTGTGATCTCGGCTCACTGCAACCTCCGTCTTCTGGGTTCACGCGATTCTCCTGCCTCAGCCTCCCGAGTAGCTGGGATTACAGGCGTGAACCACCGTGCCTGGCCTCCTTTTCTTTTCATATTTTTTCATAGGTCTAGACCAAGATTTCTCAACTTTTTTTTTTTTAATCACCCACTAAGTACCCTTTTGAGATGTTTTTTCCTAATCTCACTCCACCTCATTAAATATTAATGCTACATATATACTGTATATCTGTCTATGTATTGCATTATATCTGTGCTTTATATAGATATATATCACATTATATCTGTGCTATATAAAGTAATAAGATTTGGCCGGCCACGGTGGCTCACGCCTGTAATCCCAACACTTTGGGAGGCCGAGGTGGGCGGATCACCTGAGGTCAGGAGTTTCAGACCAGCCTGACCAACATGGCAAAACCTCATCTCTACTAAAAATACAAAAATTAGCCAGGCATGGTGGCAGGCACCTGAATCCCAGCTACTCGGGAGGCTGAAGCAGGAGAATTGCTTGAACCCAGGAGGCAGAGGTTGCAGTGAGCCAAGATCGTGACACTGCACTCCAGCCTGGGCAGCAATAATAATAATAATAATAATAATATTTTTCACACACATTTTCCAACCATCTTCATCCCTTGGGGGACATTGTGCCCCCACTGAGAATGGATGTTCTAACCACTGCCTCCCTCCAGAGCCTGGTCTCCTCCCTCTCTCCTTCATCCATTACACTAGGCTTCTTTCAGTTCTTTAAAGAAGACAAACTTGGACCAGGCACAGTGACTCACGCCTGTAATCCCAGCACTTTGGGAGACCTAGACAAGCAGATCATCTGAGGTCAGGCATTCGAGACCAGCCTGGCCAACATGGTGAAATCCTGTCTCTATTAAAAATACAAAAAAAATTAGCCAGGCCTGGTGGTGCGCGACTGTAATCCCAGCTACTGGGGAGGCTGAAGTGGGAGAATTGCTTAAACCCAGGAGGCAGAGGTTGCAGTGAGCCGAGATCGCATCACTGCACTCCAGTCTGGGCAAAGGGAGACTCCATCTCAAAAAAAAAAAAAAAATCAATGTCTGGAAAAGATCTTTTTAACGTTATTTCACGGGTTCCTCTTGTTGGATGGAATCCTTGGTCATTTGCATGTACTGTGCTTTACATATAAAAAGAGTAAGATTATTTTCGCCACTTTCCCAGGTGGGAGGTGCTATCCCCTTTGAAAATGCATGGCCAGCCCTGCTCATTCTCTGTTGCTCTCACATTGTCCATTCATTGTTTCTCTCTGTACCCCGAGACCCCACAGAGAGGGAGCCTCCAGAGGTCGGAACGTGCCCTGGGGCAGAGATAGTGGCAGGCAAGAGAGAAGGGGATAAGGAGTTACCTTGAAGATAGGATGTATCGACGGCAGGCACCTCATGGTGGCCACAACAATGACCTCAGCCATCAAGTGTCCCCTCAGAAGATGAGACTGCAGCTCATGGAGCTGGAAGTCAGAGCTGCGCACCCAGCATTTGGCCAGAAGCCAGGCCATTGGGGGATCCGTAGGCAAGAAAAGGGGAGGTGGTGGGGATCCTGTGCGGGGCAGCTGGAGCTGGAGCAGGGACAAGTGTGGGGAGAGAAGGCATGAGTGCCAGGCACTCAGCGATTCCCGCCCCCCTTGCATGTTAACCTCACCCTTCGTCCTCCAAACCTGTTCTGCTTTCCCCATCTCACTCCTGCCGCTCCCTACGGCTCCCGTTTCCTCCCCTCCCCTTCCTGCCCGCTCAGTGCATTAGCACCCTGCAAGCTGCTTTGCCTCCAGCATTCTGCAGAAACTGCTCTTCTGGTGCCTCCTCCAGCCTCCACTTCCCCTTTCAGTTCCCACAGTGTGGACAAGATTCAAACCACCTGCTTCCTCCATCCCACACTGTTTTTTGAAAACTCATCTTTTGGCCCCACCTCTACACAAATGACTGAATCTCTTGTTCTCAGCTGCCTGCTGGATAATTTAAGTGTCTTCCCGTTACCTCAACATTGGCCAGACAAAAATCCACCTGGGCACCCTGTTCTCTTTATCGGTGCTATTTCTGCAGGCAACTGGCCTGGCTCCCCTTTCCCCTCTCCTTGATCTCCCTCTGCACTCGCATCCACCTGTCCTCTCCATCCTGATGGTCACTACCCACATCCGAGCTCCCCTCCTCCTGGGGTCAGTGCTGGGGCATGTTGCCCCAGTCCCTATTTCTAGCATCTCCCCTCTCCAACCCACCCTAAACACCACTGCCCACACCGCGTGCCCACAGCACGTTTCATCACGGCCTTCTCCAGCTTCCCACCTCATACTCCTTAGCCTGGCTTAGTCTGGCTTCTGGTCCAACTGTCCCCTAGGAATTGCCTGACTCCTCTACCTCAGCCTCTGCCCAGTCTGTCTTGCCCCTGAGGACCGGTCCTTCCTCTCCCTCCTGCTTGTCTGAGACCTGGCCCTCCTCCAAAGCTCGTGACACCCCACCTCCCCAATCCCTCCTGGGCTGTCTCTGTCCTCAGGGACTTCCTCAGTCCTGGAGCTTCTGCAGACTGGCCCAGTCTGTCTCTCCAGCTACACTGCAAGGCCTTCGAATAGAGACTTGGCGCATTTCCTCCTTTCGCGTCTCCCAGGTGCCTTAGCCCAGTGCCTTTGCAGATGGTGCTCAGTAAATTTTGATAAGGGGCTGAGCTTTCTCAAAAGCCAGAGACTGGGAGCAGAAATCCTGAGTCCTCTCACCTGGATGACCATGGGCAAGAGTTTCCCATCAGGCTGCAATTTCAGCATGACTAGAGGGGCAGCCAGGTGCTGCTGGCTACAGAGAATGACGTTGGCCTTGATCCCATCCAGCAGGGAGAAGTCAGCTTCGAACAGTGTGCCTCCCTGGGTGGGGGAAGAGGTCAAGGGCTGCTATCAACATAAAGCATCTTCTTCCTACTCGGATTCCTCCAAGGGGGAAGAGAGTGGAGCTAACTCGTCTCCATCATCTACTTTATACCAGGTAATGGATCATGTGCTTACTTCCTCATATCATTTTTTTTTTTAATCAGGGTCTTACCGTGCTGCCCAGGCTGGAGTGCGTGGCAGGATCACCACGGCTCACTGCAGCCTTGACTTCCTTGGGCCCAGGTGATCCTCCCACCTCAGCCTCCCAAGTAGCTGGGACTACAGGTGCATGCCACTACACCAAAGATTACAGGTGATAATTTTTGTACTTTTGTAGAGACAGGGTTTCACCACGTTGCCTAGGCTGGTCTCCAACTCCTGGGCTCAGGTGATCCTCCTGCAGCCTCCCAAAGTGCTGGGATTACAGGTGTGAGTCACTGTGCTCAGCCTTATAATTTTTATACCTAGTTGAATGAGCCTCAATTTTACAGAAGAGGAAACAGATAATCAGAGAGGTTGGGTATTTTGCCTGAGGTCACACAGCTTACAAATAGCAGAACCAGGATTCACATCCAAGCCTATCTGCCCTTAATCCCATGAATTTCCTCTCTGTTGTTCCATATCGCCTCCTGATGAACAGCCACAGCACTCTGATCCTGACTCTCTTACTCTGCACACTCCCCGAATCCCTAGCACCAGGGGCCAGTCACATTTCTTCATTTGACCTTGTTTCTATCAACCATTCCATCTTGCACGCCCTCCCTCCGCAGCTACTCTCGTGTAGGAAGGAGGCCGAGCAGCTGAGCTTCTCCAGGGTCCCTCAGGACCTCTCCTGCAGAATCCGTCCTTGCTGGCTGGCAGCAAGCCAGGCCCACAGTGGGTCCCGCAGCAGCATCATTGGCACTAGGCCACCCCACTTCACTGCTGAGCTTCCTCAGGGCTCTGATGTCCATACCTCCAGCTCCTTCTCCAGCTGGGCCTGCAGTTCCTCCATGCCTGGAGGGAACACTAGGCGAGCAGGAAGGTGAGCAGAGCGCCTCAGCACCACGGGGTTGGCGCCATTAAGAAACTGGTACCCAAATAAGGCATCTTCCTTCCAGGAGTCCCGCACGCGCTCTGGGGAAGGCAGTTGTTGAGCAAGTTGTGGGATCTGAGCTCTTGGTCCTTCCAACCCCACCAACCATGCCTCCTTGACTCCAGCCCACCAGAGGGACCCAAGTCTCTGGTCTCCCCACCCTGCTTCTTTCAATTCCCCTGGGTTGGGTGGGATCTGGGTGGGATCTGGGGGGTTGGGAGACATACTGGGGTGGGGGACTGACCAGCCAGCTTGCTCTGACCACACCAGAAAATCCGGTTGAAGTCATCTAGATCCTTCCAGCAAGTCAGAACATTTAGAGAGTCTTTGATAGCGAGGTCGGCCAGCCTTCAGGGCAGGATGGGGCAAAGGGTTTGAGCATCATTCTGAGGCTCTAACATGACGACCACAGGCACCGATCCTGGGCCAGTCCAATGCAGTGCAGCCCATAAGCCCCTTGGCTTCCACTAGACCAGGACACCTCCCTCTCACCCAGCCTCCCCTTGCTCTCACCCCTTGGCCAGCGAAACCTCAAAGTCAACTCTCTTGTCTTCCAGAAATCGCTCATCCACAGGGAGGTCATATAGTTTGGCCCCAGCCATATTCAGAATTAACCCGTCCTTCCAGTTTCCCCACCTGTGGGGCAGGAAGGAAATCAAGTATGGGTGCTGGAAGCATCAGCAGCTCACGTGGGGTCAGGGGAGGAGGGCTCACCGGTACAACTTCCTTCTCTCTTCCAGCTCTTCTTCCCGGTGTTTCTGGAACAGGCCCTGAGGGTCCTCGCCCACAGTGCGGCCTAGAAGGACAGAGGAGGACTTGGCCAGTGACTTTTGGTGAGCGCCTCTTCTTGTCTCTGCCAGGAGAGCCTCAGCACCCCGTCCTTCTGTGTGGCCTCTGCCCCTTCAGCATCACGCCCCTCCCCCAGGCTCCAGCCACTTTGTGCCAGCTGCAGCCACCGCCCCTTCGACACCCCCAAAGACCCCGGCGCTCCAGGTTCCAGCACCCCCATCCTGCGCCCTCTTCTCCACACGCGCATCCCCCCAGCTTCTCACACAGCCCAGAGGCCTCCTGACACCCTCAGCCCCGCGCTTACCGGTGCCTTCAGGCAGGCTCAGGACGCCGTTGCCCTCCACCCAGCGGTAACAAGGGAACCTGACCTCGTCCCCGGCTCCGGGGCCCTGCACAGAGATCCAGTTGCAGAACCAGGCGTCGTCCTTAAGGAGGTGCCGTTTGCGCAGTTTCACAAACAGCAGCGGCCCCAGATACTCCGGTACTTCCACCTTGAGTTCTGTCTCCTGCGGGCGACAGAAGAGGCTCAGCCCCGGTGGGGCCTGGCGGGAGGGGCACCCGGCTGAGCCCTGCTCCCTCCAGCGCCCACGCCCTTCCTCGGAGCCTCTGAGAGGAGGAGACGTATCGGGGTGCGGGGACTGAGCCAGAGAGAGAGGGACCGCGCCGAGCAGGTGGCCCCAGGACTCGGTTCTGAGGGGACGGGGACGGCAGGTGGGAAGGTGCGCTCCTGCCTTCACTTTCTCCTCCCTGTGGTCACTGACTGTGCCAAGCGCTGGGCTGAGCGCTGCCGCGCCCTGGACGAGCGCGCTGTGGAGCCCGGACGCGCTGGTGGCAATTCCCGCTGTGCGACCCCCCACCCCACCCCGCCCGAGGCTGAGGACCTGCAGGGGCCCCACCGGCCTGGGGACAACCTTCCCGGAGACCTGGAGGCGGAGAGGGCTCAGCCAGGGAGAGTGACAGAAAGGGAAGGCAGGGGAAAGGCGCGCAGAAAGAGAGCGGCGGGGAAGGGAGGGCGAGCAGCATCTTGGAGCTGGAGCTCAGAGCCCAGGTGTGGGGGGTCAGCAGGTCCGGAGGCTCTCGAAGGTGGCGCCAGGGGCTTTGGATTTGGTCCCGAGAACAAGCGGGAGCCGTTCGAATGTGTTAAGCAGGGGGAGTGAATTAGGGAGAAATCATTCCGGCTTCAGAAGGGCTTGGAAGGTCTGCAGCAGAGGTGGCGAGGCCGCTGGAGGTTTGAAATGGCTTTTAAAATAGAGAAACCGGGAGGACCGACGACCGCTCCGGCGACCGCAGTTTCCAGGCACCAGAGCTGTGTGGAATGAGGGGCGCTCAGGAGCATCCCCTTAATTCCAAGGAGATCGAGTAGCGGGAACATTTATTGAGCCTTTACTGTGTGTCACCAACTGCCCACCATAGGGAGGAAAAAAGGGAGGAGGGAGCGCGCCTTTCCACCTTCCGTGCCCCGTCCCCTCACCATGGAGTCGCGGGGCCACCTGCTCCGTGCGCATTTTCTCTCTTCCTGGCTCCCTTTGCCCCGCTTTCTCGGAAGCTCGGAGCAAGGGCGTGGAGTGCGGGGAGCAGGGCTCCGCAGGTTCAAGAGGACGCGGGCGGTCGGGGGCGGGACGGATATTGGGCAGGGACGCGGGAGATGCTCAGGGTCTAGAACTGACTGCGCCGGATTCTTGTTTAGAGGGAGGTGAAGAGAGGAAGGAGGCGCGGGTGACACCGGGGGAGGCAGGAGGAGAGGGCTGGGAGGTGGGGAGAGGGGAGGACCTCATCCGGGCATGTTGCTTTGACGTTCCCTGAGACAGACATCCGGATTTGGGGATCTGGGAGAGAGCTAGAGCAGTGATGGGAATTTGGGCTTTCGCGGAAGAAAAAAAGTTAACAGGACCGGGTAGAACACCCGGTAGATGTGACATGAGATATGACGGGAGGTGGGTCGGGAAATCGAGAGCGTTCTCCTGTCTTGACTCCCCATCCCTTCCCTCTCACCACCCACTCCACCCCAGGTGATAAAGCCTGAAAGGTAGAGATCCAACAGCGCTAGCGGTTGAAACGGTTTTTAAAATAGAGAAAGCGAGAGGACCGACGGCGGCTCCAGTGACTGCTGAGTTTCCAGACAAGGGAGCTTTGTGCAATGAGGGGCGCACAGGAGCATGCCCTCAATTCCAAGGAGATCGGGTAGCGGCAACATTTATTGAGCGCTTACTGTGTGCCACCGACTGCCCTAAAGCCCCCCACCCCCGTGGCCTCCGCGCGCTTTGAGCCCAATGCGCGGGCCCTTGGCAAAGAGAATCGGCCAGAGGCCAACGGGGGCGCATGTCCTCCCCGGTATTTGACTGACTCGGAGCCAGGGGCGCAGCCCACCCCGCCCGGCTCTGGGGAGCTCACCTTGCCCCGTGCGGGCCACAGTCGCTTCCCGAGCGCCGCCTCCCCGTGCTGGCCGACCAGCCACAGCTGCACCTGGTTGTTGGAACCGGCATAGAGCGAGGCCCCAGTGGACACGCGGATGCGGTAGAGACCCATCTTGCTCAAAGATGTTTCGCTCCTTCTGGTGGAGAAGGGTGGACGAGCTAAATAACCCAGCCTGAGACCCCGCCCTCTCGGAGGTCGCTTGGGGTCGGAATGTGGGTGGCAGGTCTCCAATCAACTCCGCCTACCGCTGGGGCCCCCAGCTCCAAGGAGCAGAGCTTCAAGGGGCAGAATTCAGCCCCAGTCCAAAAGGCGGTGTCCTGGCGAGAGCAGGGAGTGGAAACCACTATCTTGACGGGAGGGAGAAAAAGAAAAGGATTTGGACCGAAAACACGCAGGAAGAGGGAATCAACGCCTGGTACAGCAGGCAGGCGAGGTGGGGGTAGGAGTTATGCACGTGTGTACCACGGACTTTGGGCCAAGCCTGGGTGGCTGGGAAGCCAACCTCCATCTAAACGCACGCGTGCACACACACACACACGCAAGGACACGCGCGCGCACACACAAGCCTCACAAGTTGGATTGCAGGAGAGGGTGAAGTGGGCGAGGAGACCCAGTTTGCAGTGGCATTTGAGGAAGGTACATTCAGGCCACGGAATTCATTCGACCAGCTTTGCACACTTGCCTTCTCTGTGCCAGCCACTGGGACTCATTCCTTTTGAGCATAAAAGCCGCTGCCTCCCTGTTGCCTGCAGAATAAAAGTCCAAATGTTTCTGGCATTCAATGCCCTTGCTAACCTGACCTGCTCTCCTCACCTCTCATCCCACTGCACCCTGGCATCTCCTGTGCTGGAGCCATGTGTTCCCCGGAACCCCCCCTCCCCCCGCCGCCCCTGCTGTTCTCTCAAAGAACTCACTTCTGGGTTAGTCTGGTCATGCTTCTAAACCCTAATTCGTCTCCAGTTTCTTTTTGGGCTGGAGCCATGTGTTCCCCAGAACCCCACCTGCTGTTCTCTCAAAAGAACTTGCTCCTGGATTAGTCTATTCATCTATTCATGCTTCTAAACCCTAGTTCACCTCCGGTTTCTCAGGAAAGTCTTACCCGGTACTTTCACCCCCCACCACCCCACCAGAGTGAATTAGCTTTCCTTTTTTTTTTTTTTTTGAGATATAGAGTCTCACTCTGTCACCCTGGAATGCAGGGTGGAGTGCAATGGCACGATCTCGGCTCACGGCAACCTCTGCCTCCCGGGCTCAAGCAATTCTCTGCCTCAGCCTTCCGAGTAGCTGGGATTACAGGCGCCTGCCACCATGCCTGGATAATTTTTGTATTTTTAGTAGAGACGGGGTTTCTCCATGTTGGCCACGCTGGTCTTGAACTCCTGACCTTGTGATCCACCCACCTCAGTCTCCCAAAGTGCTGGAATTACAGGTGTGAGCCACGGCGCCCGGCCCAGCTTTCCTTTCTAACACTTTTCTCCTTGCGCACACTTCTACTGTTGCACAGTTAATACTGCAGTGTGAGCATTTGTATGTGTGTATCCCCCACTAATGTGAGCCCGTCCTAGGCAGGGACTACACACCCAGCAGGACTCTCACTTTTGTTTCCCCTGGAGACGGCACAGTGTCAGGGTTTGTGGGTGTCAATAAGTGTTTGCTGAAACACACTGAGCTGAAAAATTCATTATAAATGAATGCTTCCCTTGGGGGAGACAAAGGGAAACAAATTATCAGGCAATGTAAACAAAAGGGGAATACTAACATAAACTTCATGGCATGGATTACAATCAGCCTGGTAACACAAATGAAGTCCACGAAAATATGTCTGTGATGCATATTTTCTGGTTTGCTTGTTTTTTGTTTTTGGTGTTTTTTTTTTTAATGAGATGGAGTCTTGCTCTGTTGCCCGGGCTAGAGTACAGTGGTGTGATCTCGGCTCACTGCAACCTCCACCTGCCGGGTTCAAGCGATTCTCCTGCCTCAGCCTCCAGAGTAGCTGGGATTACAGGCACCCACCAACATGCCCGGCTACTTTTTGTATTTTCAGTCGAGATGGGGTTTCACCATGTTGGCCAGGCTGGTCTTGAACTCCTGACCTCAAGTGATCCACCTGCCTCGGCCTCCCCAAGTGCTGGGATTACAGCCATGAGCCATCATGTCCGGCCCTGCTTAATTGTTTACTGGGAAGTACATTCATGTGATTCAAAATTCAAAAGGTACAAAGTGATATTCACTAGTTTCTCCCTCCTCTTGGCCCCAAGCCACCCAGTTGCTCCACTCCCAGCAATCACAGTTACCAGTCTCTTCTGTGCACTAATATTACTGAGCAAATACACGCCTATCTTTGTCTTTTTCTGCACATTGTAGCATGCCTTATTCTGCATCTCGTTTTTCCATAGTGCAACAGGAGGTCATTCCATATCCATGCATAAAGAGCTTCCTTGTTCTTTGCTAAGGCTGCCATTTGCTGTAACGCCATAAATTCTACTAGTCTCTTGTAGTGGACACAGGTTATTAGTAATCTTTTGTAGCTATGAAAAAGTGCTGAAAGAAATAAACCTCGCATATACAGCATTTCTCGTATGAAAGTATCTCTGTAGAACAAAACCCTGGAGATAGAATTTCTGGACCAAAAGCATATCGAATTTAGGCAGAAACTGCTCAATTGCCCTCTGTAGAAAGTTGTACTGATTTAGACTCCCACCAGTGGACTGTGTATGAGAATGCCCATTCTTCCTCACTCTTGCCAATGGTGTGTTCATAACCTTACCTTAGCCAATCGGATAGGTGAAAAATGGTACCCTAGTTTTAATTTTAATTTGCATTACCCTTATTATGAGTAAAGTTGAGCTTTTTTTTTTTTTCTTTTTTTGAGAAGGAGTTTTGCTCTTGTCGCCCAGGCTGGAGTGCAGTGGCGCGATCTTGGCTCACTAAAACCTCTGCCTCCCGGGCTCAAGCAATTCTCCTGCCTTAGTCTCTCGAGTAGCTGGAATTACAGTCGCCTGCCACCATGCCCGGCTAATTTTTTGTATTTTTAGTAGAGATGGGTTTTCGCTATGTTGGCCAGGCTAGTCTCGAACTCCTGGCCTCATGTGATCAGCCTGCCTCAGCCTCCCAAAGTGCTGGGATTACAGGTGTGAGCCACCGTGCCCAACCAAAAGGTTTTTTTTATAAGTGAAATTCAGAAAAATCAAAATGTGGTGGGTAAAATTCATCTTCCATAGAAATGGCACAAACCCAGTAATTTTCTTGCAGATTAAAAGTGTGATTGAAGAGTTGGGAAGGCTTCCAAAAGTAATTCACAGTAACTTGTGGGTAGACTGAGTGAGGTTAGATTATGATGCAGTTGTGATGGGAGAGGAAAGACCCAGGCCATTTCTTCCCGTCTTGGATAGGGATATCTATGGTGGTTAGCCTATGCCTGTTCCAACATTGTATGTTGGGGGTGGGGTCAGATGACTTTCTCTTTAGTTTACAGGTCTTCAGAAGAAGAGGAGCCCAGGCACGGTGGCTCATGCCTGTAATCCCAGCACTTTGGGAGGTCGAGGTGGGAGAATCAGCTGAGTTCAGGAGTTCAAGACCAGCCTGACCAACATGGTGAAACCTCATCTCTACTAAAAATACAAAAAGTAGCCAGGCATGGTGGTGGACACCTGTAATCCCAGCTACTCAGGAGGCTGAGGCAGGAGAATCGCTTGAACCCCAGAGGCAGAGATTGCAGTGACCTGAGATCGTGCCACTGCACTCCAGCCTGGGCAACAGAGTGAAACTTCTTTAAAAAAGAAAAAAAAAAAGAAGAGGAGGAATTGTATTCTGGAAGTATACTTAAGGTAATACAGTTGAGAAATCTCATCTATACATGGACCTGATTTAGATGATGAAATTCTAGACTTTGAGCTGATGCTATAATGGGATTCGACTTTGGGGTAGCTTGAGAGGGAGCGAGTGTATTTTGCATGTGGAAGGAATGTAAATCACCAGAATTCAGAGGGCATGCTCGTGGTGGCCATTCTTTAAAACATCCCCCAGTGATTCCGACCTCCTGATATGCATGCCTTTCCATAGTCTCCTACATTGTGTCTGGGTTGGTCTGCAAAGCCAATGCAGTATGAAATGATGTGTGTGACTTCCAAAGCTAGGTCCTAAAAGACATTAGGGCTTTCCGTCTCCTCCCTCCCCACTCTCCCTCTTTCTTGTTCTGCTTTCTCTGAGAGAAATTAACTACTATGTCATGAGGTCACTCAAGAAACTCTATGGAGAGGTCCACGTGGCAAGGAACTGAGCCCTCCTGCTACGAGCCAGTGAGGAACTGAACCCTCCAACTACCAACCACGTGGGGCAGCCATCTTGGAAACAGATCCTCCTGCCCCGGTTAAGACTTCAGATGACTACAGCCAATCTCTTGACTGAAACCTCATAAGACTCTTGAACTAGAACCAACTGACTCCCAAAACTGTGTAAGGTAATGGGTGTTTTTTGTTTTGTTTTGTTTTTGAGACAGGGTCTTGCTCTGTCACTCAAGCTGGAGTGCAGTGGCATGGTCACAGCTGACTGTAGCCTCCACCTCCCAGGCTCAAGTGATCTTCCCACCTCAGCTTCCCAAGTAGCTGGGACCACAGGCATGTGCCATCACACCACTGAGTTTTGAGGTCGTTGTAAAGCAGAAATAGATAACTAATACGGTCTGCATGCTTATTTTCTGAATCCTCAAACTCCCAAGCTTATGTAAAGCCAAAAAATATTCAATGAACTGACCACTTTCAAAATTAGTTCACTCACCTCTTCCTCCTTTTTTTTTTTTGTGGCTTTTGTTTTTTTGTGTTTGTTTGTTTGTTTGTTTTTGACCCAGAGTCTCGCTCTGTCACCCAGGCTGGAGTGCAATGGTGCGATTTCGGCTCACTGCAACCTCCACCTCCCAGGTTCAAGCAATTCTCCTGCCTCAGTCTCCCGAGTAGCTGGGAAAACAGGCGCTTGCCGCTATGCCTGGATGATTTTTTGTATTTTTGATAGAGACAGGGTTTCACTGTGTTGCCCAGGCTGGTGTCAAACTCCTGAGCTCAGGTGATCGGCCCGCCTCGGCCTCCCAAAGTGCTGGGATTACAGGCGTGAGCCACTGCACCCGGTTCTTCCTGCTTTATTAATGCCAGCTACCTTTGTCCATCTAACTGGCTACAGAGTGAAATTTCAAGTCTTGAAACATTAGAAGACTTTGTAAAGTCCATAGAAGTACTGTTAGAAAACGGATCAGTCAGCAAAGCAACTGACAAATAATGTTGATGTTGAAAGAAGAGGCATCCACCTGAAGTGGTTCAGATGAGCTGAGCAGGGACAGGAGAGGGCCAGTCAATAAGTGACACATTGGCTGCAGTCAAAGCGACAGGCTTGGACAACGAACAAAGCTTTTCTATGCAGGTGATGTCCACTGGTCACTTATGTGTACCCTCTCTGTCCCGATATGGCTCCAGGACACTGACATCAGATGATATTTCCAAGGTAAGTGCAGAGAAGACCCTGGATGTGGACTTTGCTTCTCCATGGGCCTCCTAATGCCTGGGTTTTTGAAACTCAAAAATCCAAAACTGAGCTCAAGTGCAGTAAGCCCCAGCTGAGATTATGAAAGTACCAGGATCATAAAGATACATGTGTCCACTGGGTGCAGTGGCTCCTACCTGGAATCCCAGCACTTTTGGAGTCTGAGGCGAGAGGATCACTTGAGCTCAGGAGACCAGCCTGGGCAACATCGTGAGATTCTGTCTCTACAAAAATAAAAATTGGCCGGGTGCGGTGGCTCACGCCTGTAATCCCAGCACTTTGGGAGGCCAAGGCGGGTGGATCACCTGAGGTTGGGAGTTCGAGACCAGCCTGGCCAACATAATGAAACCCTGTCTCTAATAAAAATACAAAAATTAGCCGAGCATGGTGGTGGGCAACTATAGTCCTAGCTACTTGGGAGGCTGAGGCATGAGAATCACTTGAACCCAGGAGGCAGAGGTTGCAATGATCCGAGATCGTGGCCACTGCACTGCAGCCTAGGTGACAGAGCGAGACTCCATCTCAAAAAATAAAAACAAAAATAAAAAATATTAGCTGGGCATGATGGTGTTTGCCTGTAATCCCAGCTGTGTGGGAAGCTGAGATGCAAGGATCACTTCAGCCCAGGAGTTCGAGGCTGCAGTGAGCTATGATTGTGCCTGTGAACTCCAGCCTGGACAACAGAGGGAGACCCTGTCTCTGAAAAAACAAAATCAAAAAAATATGTTAATATCGTACTTTACAAGTATTATTTTGTCAAAGTGGTGTCGAGAATGTCAAATATTGCTTCTCAGCTGGGCGCGGTGGCTCACGCCTGGAATCCCAATGCTTTGGGAGGCTGAGGCGGATCACCTGATCAGGTCAGGAGTTCGAGACCAGCCTGGCCAACATGGTGAAACCCCATCTCTACTAAAAATACAAAAATTAGCCAGTCATGATGGTGCGCACCTGTGATCCCAGCTACTTGGGAGGCTGAGGCAGGAGAATGGCTTGAACCTGGGAGGTGGAGCTTGCAGTGAGCCGAGATTGCGCCACTGCACTCCAGCCTGGGCAACAGAGCGAGACTGTGTCTCAAAACAAAACAAAGAACATGTCACTGAAATGTAGGCCTGAGGGAAAGAAGCAAACGATCAGTGGAATTTTTTTCTGCCCAGTGTTAAAAATTGAAATTGACCTCCAAGCTGTCAATGCCTTCAACTCTACCATTGCCCAACAATTCTCAAAAAGATACAGGGTTTGGACATCAGACTTCAGATAAACATACTCCCACAAGCAGGAGGAAAAACCACTCTGCCCGTGTGGGTTAAGGCTAGAGGAGCTTTAGATGAACAAAAGCACCAAATAATATGGAATGCAGTTTGGAAAACAAGGATCGGTTAGAGGAAGATGGTAATTTACAGAGGAGCTTCACTGGGAAAATTCAGACTTCAGAATAAGCTGAAGATCTTCCTGAATTCACACAAGAGAGGGAGAGGGTATCTTCTACCTTAGAAAATAAAATAAAACAGAGTTGTTCCTGGAGGAACCACCTTAGATTTTGGAGCAGAAATTGATGTGAATCTGGCTCAGCCTCTAAGGGCAAATTCTCAACAATCAAGATGTCAGGGAGTGGGGTTCAGTGGTCCTCCCACTTCTGATTTCCTAAGAACAAGCTGATTGGAGGCTGTTGGCGCCGAGAAGCTATAAGCAGAACTAGAAGCAGAGCAGGCTATATGATTGATTAGGGGTGCATATTTGCCTTTCTCAGTTGGTCCTAAGTGGAAGTGGAGACAGAAATGAAGAAATCTGGCAGTTATTGACCAAGCCCTTACTGTTTGAGGCCAATTGCTGTAGAGGATTTGTTTGGCTTCCTTCCAGGGCTGGTTGCTACAGAGGTTATGGGACAAAGGTCTGTGTTTATATTTGATTCTGTCCATTGTCCTTTTGTATAGTCAGTCTCTCACTAGCGATGTATGACAGTTCCAGCTGCTCTGTATTCTCACCAGTACTTGGTACTGTTTGTTTTGGATGCAAGGGATGGTTTGTGGGGGAGTGGGGAGGGATTAGCCATTCTAATAGGTATACACTGGTATGCCGTTATGGTTTTAATTTACATTTTGCTAATGACTGACTATACTGAGCATCTTTTCAAGTGTTTATTTGACATTTGTATATCTACTTTGGTGAAGTATCTATTCAAACTTGTGTGGATTTTTTTTTTTCCTCGTTGTTGAGTTTTGAGTTATTTATATATTTGTGGAGCAACTCCAGCTTGGATGCTAAGCAGCTATGTTGACTTTTTTTTTTTTTTTTTTTTGTAGAGACAGAGTCTCATTTTGTCACCCAGGCTGGAGTGCAGTGGTGCGATCTCGGCTCACCGCAACCTCTGCCTCCTGGGTTCAAGTGATTCTCCTGCCTCAGCCTCCCAAGTAGCTGGAATTACAGGGATGCACCATCACGCCCAGCTAATTTTTGTATTTTTAGTAGAGACAGGGTTCACTATGTTCACACTGAGACCAGTATGCGCCAGACTGGTCTCAAACTCCTGACGTCAAGTGATCCACCTGCCTTGGCCTCCCAAAGTGCTAGGATTCCAGGCGTGAGCTACCGTGCCCGGCCTCATGTAGACTTTTGATTAACCACAGTTCAAGGAGCCTGTAAGATTTCCAGTTTACCTATTGTTCCTTGTGTAAGAGTATGTACTTACCATAAAGCCTGCCCTTCAGCAATTGTCCTATACATCCCTTCTGAAGCATGCACCCTTTCCGTATGATATATAAGGCCTGGGTCTAGGGAGTAGTGGAGAGGGGATCCACGATCTTGTCTCACCACCACCTGAGACACAGATGTGGCTTCTGTTCCTAAGTTTCTATTAAATGTTTCTGAGAAACTAGATATGTCAGCCTCTTTCTTCGGCCTCTCAGCTTCCTCAGACTTTTGCAGATAGGTTTGCGTAAGTCTGCCCAGCGTGGAGCAATATTTTAGATATTAAGTCCTTTTTTATTTATTTATTTTTATTTTTTTTTTGAGATGGAGTCTCACTCTATTACCCAGGCTGGAGTGCAGTGACGCAATCTCGGCTCACCGCAATCTCCACCTCCCCGGTTCAAGCGATTCTCTTGCCTTAGCCTCCCAAGTAGCTGGAATTACACGCATGTGCCACCATGCCCCGGCTAATTTTTGCATTTTTAGTGGAGGCAGGGTTTCACCATGTTAGCCAGGCTGGTGGTCTTGAACTCTTGACCTCAGGTGATGCGCCCTCCTCGGCCTCCCAAAGTGCTGGGATTACAGATGTGAGCCACTGCGTCCCGCCAGATATTATGTCCTTTGAAAGACGTGTGATTTACAAACATTTTCTCCCCACAAGCAGCATCTCAGAGTGAAGATGCCTTTTTATCTCTTAGCAGTGTCTTTAGCAGAGTAGTTTTGAATTATGATGAAGTACAATTCATCAATTTTTTTCATTAAGGATTGTGTTTTGCCTATGCCTAACAAAAGACCATAAAGATTCTCTCCTGTTTTCTCTAGAAAGTTTATGATTTCACACTTTATATTTAAGTCTGTGATCCATTGAGTTAAATTTTGTATGAGGTATGAAGAATGGGTCAAGTTCATTTTTTGCATATGAATATTCATATGCAAATATCATTCCAGCACCATTTCTTGATTCCTCCATTGAATTGCCTTTGCATCCTTGCCAAAAATCACTTCACCACACCTATGCCTATGTTTGGGCTATTTTTCTCCATGATCTACGTGCTTATCATTCCACCAATACTACACTGACTTGATGACTGTAGCTTTATAAGTATTGAAATCAGGTAGTACTAGTCTTGAAACATCGTTCTTCATTTCCAAAACTATTTTAGATATTCCATTACCTTAGCCTTTTGCTATAAATTTTGCAATCTGCTTATTGATATTGATAAAAATTATTAGCATAAATTCCTACTGTATTTTTGGCCGGGTGCAGTGGCTCACGTCTGTAATACCAGCACTTTGGGAGACTGAGGCATGAAGGTGACTTAACCCCAGGAGTTCGAGACCAGCCTGGCCAACATGGTGAAACTCCGTCTCTACTAAAAATATAAAAATTAGCTGGGCATGGTGGCGGGCACCTGTAATCCGAGCTACTCAGGAGCTGAAGCAGGAGGATTGCTTGAACCCAGAAGGCGGAGGTTGCAGTGAGCCAAGATCATGCCATTGTACTCCAGCCTGGACAACAGAGTGAGACTCTGTCTTAAAATAAATAATTAAAATCCTTTTTTTTAAAATTGGGATTGCATTGAATCTATATATATATATATATATATATATATATTTTTTTTTTTTTTTTTTTTTTTGAGACAGAGTTTCGCTCTTGTTGCCCAGGCTGGAGTGCAATGTCGCAATCTTGGCTCACTGCAACCTCCATCTCCCAAGTTCAAGTGATTCTCCTGCCTCAGCCTCCCAAGTAGCTGGGATTACAGGCATGCACCACCACACCTGGCTAATTTTTGTCTTTTTAGTAGAGACGGGGTTTCACCATGTTGGCCAGGATGGTCTCGATCTCTTGACCTCGTGATCCGCCCACCTCAGCCTCCCAAAGTGCTGGGATTACAGGCGTGAGCCACTGCGCCTGGCCGTGACTTCTGAGACTAGGTCAAATGCCATGCAATTCCTTTCACTTTGCTGCCTTGGGATCACTCTTGCTAACTCTGTGAGTGAGCCTTTGCTCACTCTTGGAACGGTCACCATGCTGTGAGGAAACCCAGGTGGCATGGAGAGACCATGTGTGGATGTCCCAGCCGACAGCCCTAACTCTAGATCCAGGTAAAAAGCCAGTACTGACCACCAGTATGACTTAGGAAGTCTTCCAGATGACTCCAGCCTCAGCCACTGTCTAACTACAACCACATGAAAGTCTCCAAGTAAGGATAATTTAGCTGAGCCCCTGTCAATTGTCAAAACTCTAAACGCTAATAGTAAAATAATGATTGATGTCTTCAGTCGTCATTTTGGAGTGATTCATTATGCAATAACTGGAACAGACATGCAGAAGTCAAAGACAAAGTAGAAGAAGGCCTGGAGAGATGAACTAAGTCACTCCTTGTCTCAAGAAGTGTTGGCCAGGCGCAGTGGCTCATGTCTATAATCCCAGCAGTTTGGGAGGCCAAGGCGGGTGGATCACCTGAGGTCAGGAGTTTGAGACCAGCCTGGACAACATGGTGAAACCCTGTCTCTATGAAAAAACTAAAAATACAAAAATTAGCTGGGAGTAGTGGTGCACACCTGTAGTCCCACCAACCGGAGAGGCTGAGACAGGAGAATTGCTTGAACCCGGGAGGTGGAGGTTGCAGTGAGCCCAGATCACACCACTGCACTCCAGCCTGGGCGACAGAGCGAGACTCCATCTGAAAAAACAAAACAAAGTGTTGGCGGAAACCACAGGCCCCCTTGCCTTACAGGAGACAGAAGCCTAGGGGATAAGGCATACCAGCTGCAAACAGGGCAGACATCCACCCAGTGGCACTCCACTTTGTGGATGCCAAGAGATGTGTGGTGGCCGGGCATAGTGGCTCAAGCCTGTAATCCCAGCACTTTGGGAGGCCAAGGCGGGTGGATCATGAGGTCAGGAGATCAAGACCATCCTGGCTAACACGGTGAAACCCCGTCTCTACTAAAATTACAAAAAAATCAGCCAGGCGTGGTGGCAGGCACCTGCAGTCCCAGCTACTCGGGAGGCTGAGGCAGGACAATGGCATGAACCCGGGAGGCGGAGCTTACAGTGAGCTGAGATTGCAGGAAAAAAAAAAAAAAAAAACAAACAAACATGTGTGGAGCCCACTAGCTGAATCTAGTGTGAAAAAACAAACAAAAAACAGGCAGGATATACCAATAGCTCTCCAGGTCATCCTTTAACTGATTATTTTCCAGCCCCACCCAACATCAATTAGCCATATGTACTGATGGAAGTCATGTAGGTCGAGCACAGGAGACATCACAGAGAAAAGAGTGAGGAAATTTAACCAGTTGCTAAACAACCAGAAGGAACCAGGAAATAATCCCCCAAAAAAGGGCCTTAGGGAAGGATCCTGTCCAACCAACCCTTTTGGAGGAAATGAGAGGAGTACTGGGCTTAATCATTGGCTGTAAGATGACGATGACTCCAGCCTTGGTCTAAATACACTGTCCATCATCTGGGTGAAGCGGAGGAAGACGACGTGAGTTCAAGAACTCCAGAATTCTTATTAAATCCCAAGTCTTTGATGTGGAAATAAAGTTTAGGAAATGGTTATGAAAGAAAAATGCCTTGTAGAAAACTTCTGAATAATTTTAAATTAAGAGGAACAGTGGTTGAACTAGGTAAATCAAGAAGTATGAGTACATTTATGTTTACAGAAATAAAGATTGACTAAAATATGAAATACCACAAAGCCAAAGAATGCAAGTAGGACAAATTTTGATTTTATCTTCGTCTTGAAATAAATTAAACATGGAAAATTCAATGAATTAGATTTCTTTTCTGTCTGACTCTAATGAATAAAACCCATGTGTGTTATGTATGTGTAATGTGTGTATGTGTGTGTGTGTGTGTGTGTGTGTGTTTTCAGTTCTATTCAGGACATAAGTCAAGCTATTAAAAACAAATATTTACAATATTGGCTCAAACTGTGCCTGTTTTCAGAATGAAGTTATCAGGATTTTGGTCATTTGGAAGTAATAAGGTTATACTTGGCTATAATGTATTAAAAGCATTGCTGAGAGACTTGGAAAGAAATAAGGTTTTTTGGAAACCTCAGAACCTGAGAAAAGAGTTGGCAACTGGAAGATTTTCTAGTGAAATTCCAAGTGATATGGTGTCATTTGAAAATGATACTTAATCCTGCAAACAATTTACATGGAATTAGTTGTTTTCAGTTCAGCTGCTTCACTTTGAACTTAAAAGTGAAAGATAGGCCGGGCGTGGTGGCTCACACCTGTAATCCCAGCACTTTGGAAGGCTGAGGCGGGTAGCTCACCTGAGGTCAGGAGTTCGAGACCAGCCTGGCCAGCATGGTGAAACCCCCGTCTCTACTAAAAATACGAAAATTAACTGGACATGGTGACACATACCTGTAGTCACAGCTACTCAGGAGGCAGAGGTGAGAGAATTGCTTGAACCCGGAAGACGGAAGTTGCGTGAGCCGAGATCGTGCCATTGCACTCCAGCCTGGGCGACGGAGGGAGACTGTCTCAAAAAAAAAAAAAAAAAAGGATGTAGTAAGAAGCTTTGACCACCCAAACCCACCCATGACTTGTGAATGTGTGTGCAATTTCGGAAACACCTGAGATTCAATATAAGGTAAACTGGGCCATAGATACCGCAGTAAGATTAAGAAAAACAAAATACTTGTAAATGTTCTAACTGAAATGTTGAACTGAAGACAGAGTATTTAACATAAAGAGGAGGCTAAAGAGCAAGAGTGTACCAGGTCAAACTGTCACCAGGATATCTGACAAATGTCGCTACCTGAAATGCCTGTGAAGAGACAGACGGGGAAGAGCCTTTGCAACTCTCTCCTTGGGGCAAACGGTAGGCTGTGGCTCAAAGATGAGTCAAGGAATAGGGTTGTGTGGAAGTCCCTACAGTCTGCCTCAAGCACAGAACACACAGTACATAAAATAAACACACGGAAGATTGGCCTCTGCCATTTTTTATTCCCAAGGTGATACATCCATCCATTCCACCCTATGCCTGAGAAAGCTGGCCTCAGCAACCAGGGTGAGAACACTACCTCTCAGTCCAAAGAGATACTGCAGACGGTCCTGATTAAAAAAAAAAAAAAAAAAAAAAAAAAAATGGGGGAGGGGAGAGAAGGGGAGGGGAGGGGGCACAGTGGCTCACACCTGTAATCTCAGCACACTGGGAGGCCGAGGCAGGTGGATCACCTGAGGTCGAGGGTTCGAGACCAGCCTCACCAACATGGAGAAACCCCGTATCTACTAAAAATACAAAATTAGTTGGGCATGGTGGTCCATGCCGGTAATTCCAGCTACTCATGAAGGCTGACGCAGGAGAATCACTTGAACCTGGGAGGCAGAGATTGTGGTGAGCCGAAATCACGACATTGCACTCCAGCCTGGGCAACAAGAGCAAAACTCCGTCTCCAAAAAAAAAAAAAAAAAAAAAAAAAAAAAAAAAAAAGCCAGACGCCGTGGCTCATGCCCATAATCCCAGCCCTTGGGAGGCCAAGGCAGGCAGATCACCCGAGGTCAGGAGTTCCAGACCAGCCTGCTCAACATGGTGAAACCCCGTCTCTACTAAAAATACAAAAATTAGCTGGGCGTACTGCCACGCACCTGTAATCCCAGCTACTGGAAAGGCTGAGGCAGGAGAATCGCTTGAACCTGGGAGGCGGAGGTTGCAGTGAGCCAAGATTGCGCCATTGCACTCCAGCCTGGGCAACAGAGTAAGACTTCATCTCAAAAAAAAAATTGTTTTAAATATATAAACTCGTAAGAAAAAAGACAGTAGGAGAGATTACAACTGCAGATGAGATTTAACAGATTTTGTCACCTGGAAGCAGCCAGGTGATAACCGACTTAACAGATTAGAAAATGATGAGAACGGTGGGCCCAAAATTGGTGGATTCTTGGGCTCACCGACTTCAAGCATGAAACCGCGGACCCTCGCAATGAGTGTAGCAATTCTTAAAGGCAGCGTGTCCGGAGTTCGTTCCTTCTAATGTTTGGACGTGTTGGGAGTTTTTTTCCTTCTGGTGGGTTGGTGGTCTCGCTGGCTCAGGAGTGAAGTTACAGACCTTCGCGGTGTTACAGCTCTTAAGGCAGCGCGTCTGGAGGAGTTGTTCCTCCTGGTCTCGCGGTTCAGGAGTGAACCTGCAGACCTTCGCGGTGAGCGTTACAGCTCATAAAAGCAGTGTAGACCCAAACAGCGACCAGACTTACTACAAACAGCACAAACAAACAAACAAAAAATACAAAGAACAAAACAAAAAAACAACACGCACACACGTGTTCCAGCTTGTTGTTTCTGCGACCTCGGGCAGCCTGCTTTTATTCTCTTATCTGGCCCCACCCACATACTGCTGATTGGTCCATCTTACAGAGAGCTGACTGGTCCGTTTTACAGAGAGCTGATTGGTCTGTTTTCACAGGGTGCTGATTGGTGCATTTACAATCCCTGAGCTAGACACAAAAGTTCTCTATGTCCCCACTAGACTAGCTAGATACGGAGTGTGGACACAAAGGTTCTCCAAGTCCCCACCAGAGTAGCTAGATACAGAGTGGATTGGTGCATTCACAAACCCTGAGCTAGACACAGGGTGCTGATTGGTGTGTTTACAAACCTTGAGCTAGATACAGAGTGCCGATTGGTGTATTTACAATCCCTTAGCTAGACATAAAGGTTCTCCAAGTCCCCACCAGACTCAGGAGCCCACCTGGCTTCACCCACCCGGTGGGTGGGTCCCGCAGCAGGCCGCACGTGGAGCTGCCTGCCAGTCCCGCGCCATGCGCCCGCACTCCTCAGCTCTTGGGTGGTCGATTGGACTGGGCGCCTTGGAGCAGGGGGCAGCGCTCGTCGGGGAGGCTCGGGCCGCACAGGAGCCCACGGAGCGGGGGTGGGGAGGCTCAGGCACGGCAGGCTGCAGGTCCCGAGCCCTGCCCCACGGGAAGGCAGCTAAGGCCCGGCGAGAAATTGAGCACAGCAGCTGCTGGCCCAGGTACTAAGCCCCTCACTGCCCGGGCCGGGGGCGCCGGCCAGCCGCTCCGAGTGCGGGGTCCGCCGAGCCCACGCCCACCCGGAACTCACGCTGGCCAGCAAGCACCGCGCGCAGCCCCTGTTCCCGCTCGCGCCTCTCCCTCCACACCTCCCCGCAAGCTGAGGGTGCCGGCTCCGGCCTTGGCCAGCGCAGAAAGGGGCTCCCGCAGTGCAGCGGCGGGCTGAAGGGCTTCTCAAGCAAGGCCAGAGTGGGCGCCAAGGCCGAGGAGGCGCCGAGAGCTGCCGGCACGCTGTCACCTCTCAACGAGATGTGCTGGGGGGCAGAGCTGGGGTTGTGAGACCACCAAAATGCATGCCAGTTCCTGACGCAGTGTTACCGAGTGAAAGGGCTCGCTGCCCCATGCACTAGAAGCCGATACTATGGCACCAGGTTTTTGAGAAAACGAAAGCTTGTTATCGCAGTTCGACCAACAAGGAGACAGAAGTCCAGCTCAAATCTTTCTGTGCCAGCTTTAAGGCAGTGTCTTCATTAGAAAATGTTTAAGCCGGGCGCGGTGGCTCACGCCTGTAATCCCAGCACTTTCCGAGGCCAAGGCGGGCGGATCACGAGGTCATGAGATCGAGACCATCCTGGCTAACACGGTGAAACCCCATCTCTACTAAAAAATACAAAAAAATTAGTGGTGGCAGACGCCTGTATTCCCAGCTACTCGGGAGGCTGACGCAGGAGAATGGCGTGAACCCGGCAGGCGGAGCTTGCAGTGAGCGGAGATCGCACCACTGCACTCCAGCCTGGGCGACAGAGCGAGACTCCCGTCTCAAAAAAAAAAAAAAAATGTTTAGCGGGTGGATTCTGAGATGAATAGGTGATTAGTGGAAGGGAAGGAAAGGTCTGGAAAGTCCTCGGGCCTCCACAGTGGTATCTTCATGCCTCTTCATGGGTCATAGGTGCAAATTTGGGGGGCGCTAGTGTGAAAGGTGCAGTGGAAAGGCTGTGAGGTCAGCGGGCTCATTCTGCATAGACTCCAGCTGGCCATATGGATTCCAACTGATTTCAGCCAGTTTTTTTAATCTCATAAGCAGAGGAAGTTTCAGCATTTCAGCAAGAGGTTTCTTTTCTTATCTGCCATCCTGCAAACTTAAGAATTTCTGTTAGTCATTGGTTTCTTTCTCTTTGGGGCATAGTTTCAACAGAGTCCTGAAAAAGCTCAAAAATTGAAGGCACCAATTACCTCTGAATGCACAGACATAGAGTAAGATTGGACACAGAAAATCAGCTGAAAATAGCTAAAGGCAGCAGTTAGACCCCCAGATCTCTTTCCCCAATCTGCACAGCCAGGAAATTACCTCTGCCTAATCCTGGGGGAAATATAAGATTATTTTTGGCTGGGCACGGTGGCTCACGCCTGTAATCCCAGCACTTTGGGAGGCAGAGGTGGGCTGATCACAAGGTCAGGAGTTCAAGACCAGCCTGGCCAATATGGTGGAACCCTGTTTCTACTAAAAATACAAAAATTAGGCAGGCATGGTGGCGGGCGCCTATAGTCCCAGCTACTCGGGAGGCTGAGGTAGGAGAATCACTTGAACCTAGGAGGCAGAGGTTGCAGTGAGCCAAGATCGCGCCACTGCACTCCAGCCTGGGCGACAGAGCCAGACTCCGTCTCAAAAAAAATAAAATGAAATAAAATAAAGATTATTTTCTGGGGAAACCAGGCACAGCTGAGTGTCAGGTTGCAATTCTATGCTGAAAACAACATACTGGACAGGGGGATTCCCCGCCCCCACACACCCAAGCTTCCTGGACACCAGCAGCCTGGCTTACACCCTCTGAGTCAGAGATAAGAGATCTGGGGAGACTGAGCATAACCAACAGACATGGCCTAGAGATGCTGGCATCTGGCATCCCCATCACCCCCAGCAAAGTCCTCTAGTTGAAAAGTTCCAGTAATGCACACAGTTTCCAATGAGCTCACAGGGCCTTACTTTAACTATGACAGCCAAGCACCACCAGATATTTAAGGAAAGCTCCCACTGTGAAATAAAGAGACCAGACAGAAAGGGAACTTGGAGAAAAGACAGATAAGAGCGTGCAGAGGAAAACTTTTTCAAAATATTATCGTAATGTACAAAGAGAGATAAGAGAAGATATTGCAGCCATGAAGCAAGAACAGGAACCTATTTACTACAGCAACAAAAAGAACATTCGGATTATAAGGAATCTAAACACTAAACACTTGGAAATCAAAACTTGATAGCAGAAATTAAAATTTCAAAAGAAGGATTGGAGGAAAAGTTGATGAAACATCCCAGAAAAAAAGACAAAGACATAGAAATCAAGAAAGAAAAAGTAAGTAAAATTAGAAAGTAAGTCCAAAACTCAACATCCAAACAATAGAATTTCCCGAATAAGAAAAAAATGTGAGGAAAACATTTAACATAAACAAGAAAATTTTCTAGACCTGAGGACATATTATTAGTTCCAGGTTGATACAACCCACCAAGTGCCAACAAAATGAACATAAACAGACCTGGACCCACGCATAGCACTGCACAATTTCAGAAAGCTGGGGACAAAGAGCAAAATCCTAAAAGCTTCCAGAGAGAAAAAAAAAAAAAAAAAAAAAAAACATTGCTTACATACAAAATGACAAAATGAGCCAAAACGACCTCAAACTTTTTTTTTTTTTTTTTGAGAGAAAGTCTCACTCTGTCACCCAGGCTTCAGTGCAGTGGCACACACATGGCTCACTGCAACCTCAACCTCCTGGGCTCAAGCAATCCTCCTGCCTCAGCCTCCCGAGTAACTGGGACCACAGACGTGCCCCAACATAGTCAGATAATTTTTTAAATTTTTATAGAGATAGAATCTTGCCATGTTGCCCAGACTGGTCTCGAACTCCTGTGCTCAGGCAATCCTCAGGCCTCTGCCTCCCAAGGCGCTGGGGTTATAGGCGTGAGCCACCGGGCCCATCAAATTCTTAATGGCAACATTGGAAAACAGAAGAAATGACAAAATGTCTACAGGATTTTGAGGGAAAAGAATTTCTGATCCTTGTACCTGGCCAAATTGTCAAATAAACATGATGATAAAGTTATTTTCAGAAATGCAAGGAGTAAACCCTTTTACCTCCTACACACCCGTTCTTAAGAAGCTGTTGGAGGATGTGGTCCACTGAAATAAAGAAATAAGCCAAGAAAGAGGAACGTATGGGATCCAGGAAACAGAAAGGCAAAAGGAAATTCCCAAGGATGAGGAAGAGAAGTTCAGAATAAAATAAGAGGAACAGTCAGTCCAGAGTGCAGCACGAAGTATATCTCCAAGAATAAATGACCGAATGAACGAATGAATCTTACTTTGATTAAATATAAATTATAATAAGATGCAAGGCCGGGCGCGGTGGCTCACGCCTGTAATCCCAGCACTTTGGGAGGCCGAGGCGGGTGGATCACGAGGTCAGGAGATTGAGACCATCCTGGCTAACACGGTGAAACCCCGTCTCCACTAAAAATACAAAAAATTAGCCGGGTGTGGTGGCAGGCACCTGTAGTCCCAGCTACTCAGGAGGCTGATACAGGAATCGCTTGAACCCAGGAGGCAGAGGTTGCAGTGAGCCGAGATCACACCACTGCACTCCAGCCTGGGTGACAGAGTGAGACTCCGTCTCAAAAAAATAAGGGCCTTCTGTGTTGTTACAAGAGCAACTGTATCCCCTGTTCAGCGTGACCCACAAGTTTAGGAGTCTTTTTCAGTGCCCACATTCAGTACTCTGCAGAAACTGAAGAAATAATCCAAGCAATAAAACTAAGCTGGAATTTTGTTTTCCGGGTTTTTGTTTTTGTTGCTGCTGTTGTTCTTGCATTCCAGTGGTCAAAGGCCCCACTCTTGATGAGCGTGTGGTCAGATGAGAACAGAGAGAGGACTAGTGGGATCCAACCATCTGCTAACCTGTCAATTCTGCCACAACCTGCACCTTATCTTTGCCTGACAATATACAGCATTCTTGTTCAACAGGCATCCTTTTAGATAAAAGTTGTAAATTTCCTGTCAGTTGGGATTATTTTTGCTTTTGACTGGAGAGACACAAAAATGTGAGGCCAGGCGCGGTGGCTCATGCCTGTAATCCCAGCACTTTGGGAGGCCAAGGCGGGCAGATCACCTGAGGTTGGGAGTTCGAGACCAGCCTGACCAACATGGAAGAAACCCCTGTCTCTACTAAAAATACAAAATTAGCCGGGCATGGTAGCGCTTGCCTGTAATTAATCCCAGCTACTCAGGAGGCTGAGGCAGGAGAATCGCTTAAACCCAGGAGGCAGAGGTTGCGGTGAACCAAGATCGTGCTCCAGCCTGGGCAACAAGAGAAAAACTCCATCTCAAAAACGTTTGGAATTCAAGACCAGCCTGGCCAAGATGATAAAACCCCGTCTCTACTAAAAAATACAAAAATTAGCCAGGTGTGGTGATGTGCACCTGTAATCCCAGCTACTTGGGAGGCTGAGGCAGGAGAATCACTTGAACCTGGGAGGCGGAGGTTGCAGTGAGCCGAGATCCCACCACTGCACTCCAGCCTGGGTGACAGAGCAAAACTCCATCTCAAAAAAAACAAAAACAAAAAAAAGGCTTTAACGGCTAAGTAGAAGTTAGCACAGGTGGTCCATGCTATAGAGATTCAGCTAAGGGCCATGAATAGATACATGTAGGGATCAGGGAAGGAATGAGCTTAGGGATGGGATAAGGGACAGAGTTCGTGTCAGGGATGGGACCTGTGAATTGGTGACATAGGAAGCTGAAATTCACAAACAGCTATAAAAGACATTAATGGGAAAATTCACATATGGACAACATATTAGATAACAGTATTCTCTCATTTGTTAAAATTCTTGACTGATAATTGTATCGTGATTGTGTAAGAGAATGTCCTCAATCTTGGGAAATACTATATAAATATTCAGGAGTATATTAGTGTTTAAGAATAAGGTATGATGGTGCAACTTACTCTCAAATGGTTCAAGAAAGAAAATTCAGATATCGCCAGGCGTGGTGGCTCACGCCTGTAATCCCAGCACTTTGGGAGGCCGAGGCAGGCAGATCACGAGGTCAGGAGATCGAGACCATCCTGGCTAACATGGTGAAACCCCGTCTCTACTAAAAATACAAAAAATTAGCTGGGTGCGGTGGCGGGTGCCTGTAGTCCCAGCTACTCGGGAGGCTGAGGCAGGAGAATGGTGTGAACCTGGGAGGCGGAGCTTGCCATGAGCCGAGATCGCGCCACTGCACTCCAGCCTGGGCGACAGAGTGAGACTCCGTCTCAAAAAAATAAATAAATAAAAATTAAAAAAAAGAAAGAAAGAAAAAGAAAACTCAGATATCAAGAAAGTGAATGTGGCAAACTTTAATATTTGGTTAGTCTAAGTTCAGGGTAGCTGTTGAACTGCTATTGTTATCTTTTCTACAGATCTGAAAATGTTTGGGGAATAAATGAAGTTCTAGATGTTTGTCAGCTGAAATACTAGTTTGCTATAGTATAAAGGTCAAAATGTCCCGCTTTTTGTCTCCAGCCACGTAGGATTGGTAGAGCTCCCCAACCTTCTTCTAGCCAGAATACCTGCCCCTCAGACTGTCCAAAACACAGGCACTACTCTCCAAACCCTTCTGATACCTTTATATCTTCCCACCACACTCAACCCCTTTATGGACCTGGCAGCTCTCTCTTGGGGCACCCATTTGTACTCTATTACCTAACAATTTCCCTTCATTGTATTTATCCATTTACCTTTCTCTTTCTCGGGAGACTGAGAGACCCCTGGAGACAGTGACTGTGTAGTTTTCATTTTTATCTCCAACATCTAGCACAACATGTGGCCTACAGGAAGTACTATATGCATGTTGCGGAAGGAACAAGTGAATGAAAGGCTTGCTGGGTGGAAAAGCAGACAGTGTAGTTGCAGTACGACAAATGAGGCCGGGTGCGGTGGCTCACGCCTGTAATCCCAACACTTTGGGAGGCCAAGGAGGGTGGATCGACTGAGGTCGGGAGTTCGAGACCAGCCTGACCAACGTGGAGAAACCCCATCTCTACTAAAAATACAAAATTAGCTGGGCATGGTAGCACATGCCTGTAATCCCAGCAACTCGGGAGGCTGAGGCAGGAGAATCGCTTGAACCCGGGAGGCGGAGGTTGCGGTGAGCTGAGATCGCGCGCCACCGTACTGTACCCTAGGCAACAAGAGCGAAACTCTGTCTAAAAAAAAAAAAAGACAAATGAAAGCAGGGCTGGTTGGCAGGAACTGAACTGGTCAGAGTGTAAATGAGTGCAGGTTCTTAGTGTTCAAGACCCAAAAGTGTGGCTTCAGCACCATGTTTCACAGGAGAGGCTGAGAAACCAAAGACATGGGAGACTTCAGGGAGTTAGATGTCCGAAAGGTGAAGAAATCTGGGGCAACACTTAGTTCAAGTGTTGGGAAACATTAGAACAGCATGAGATAAGGCAGACCAAGGGTCTTTGCAAAGGACTGAAAACGAGAAGAAACCTCTTGAGCTCTGGATCCCATGCGGGAGCATTTCCTTGACTTCGTGTGCACAAATATCTCTTTATGCCGAGTCTTTTGCCAGGAACCACATGGAGAAAAGAAGGCCTAACACACAACCCTTGTCCAGGGGGTCTACAGATAAGTTGCTATTTAGGGAAATCCACTGGGCAGTTTGTAGGGAGGTCACTCATCCAGTATTTGAAAACAGATTTGCACTGGACCCAGACAGGTCAAAGACTAGAAGTGGAAGTGACCCAGGCCCCGGGACTGAGGATCCATGAGACCCCACAGTGACAAAGTCCTAAGAATGGCACCCTGTGGGCTCCCTAGGATCTGTGCCCTGAGAACTGCCCCTCAAAGTCTCCTTGGCTTGCAAGGGGTGAAGTGGGGGGAGGGTGTGCCATGCTAGGGGTGCCCTACCACCCCAGCCCATTCTTTTTTGTTGCATTCAGTCAAAAGGGAGCAGGCTGCAACAGACGGTGTGAGAGGAACCCGAGCAGCTAAGCTCCCATCAGAACTCAGTTTCTCAATCTGCTCCAGCAATGCACATCCACCCCGCTGGAGAGGGAGCCTCCCCGGGTTCTTGCAGAGCTTATCCTACTGCAGGTGATGGTTTGCTTATCTCCCACGTTCAGCTCAAAGAACTGAGGAGGAACCACAATTAGACATTCGTTTGTTCATTGGTTCATTCATTCATTCGTTACTGAGCCCCTTCTACATAACAGGAATTTGGAACTGGGGATGCAGCAACAGACAAACCAACAATGTCTCTGCTCTAATGGTGTTTACATTCTATTGCGAGGAGACCAACTAAATATTCAAAAATATATATCATATATATCAGGTGGGGGGTGGGGGAAGCAGGAGCTAATGAGGGGAGATGGAGGCAAGAGGGGAGTTTTAGACAGGATGGCCAGTTAAGGCTTCTGAAGAGAAAGCATCAAACCTCTGCCTCTGTTGGGGTGGCCAGGGCCCAGAAGCCTGAGATCTTGGAGCTCTGCCTCTCTGTCCCTGCAGACTGAGAAGGAACCATAGAGAGGCTGAGGAGCAGCTGCTCCCTGGCCGACAGAAACCATTCAAAGAACATACCATTCAGGAACCAAGTAGGGCAGGCGCCTGGGTTGCCACAGTCCCTGTGCTGAGGTGTGAGTGGCGGCGGAGCAGGGCCGGCACCTCACCGCACCATCTTCTCTCCTTCCTTCACGAGGTCTTACTCTTCCCCAGATCCAATGGACATTTCTCAACAGCACGATGTTTTCTATGTTTTCTGCCTCCTGTTTGAAGTTCTTTTCTGGGACATGGCCTTCTCCAAGTCCTCTTCACGCTCCTTAAAGGGGCTCCTCTTGCCCCTAAAATGTGGTGTGATGTGGTTCCACTTAAGCCCACGTCTCTTTCCACTCCAGTCATCCTCCCTGGGTGACCTGCCCCCTCCCAAATCTTCTCCAGCCCTGAACCCTGTCCTCAACTACACACCTCACATATCCAGCTGCTTCTTACCCCAGAGGTACTGCTCATTCAAATGTTCTACATTATTGTCAGCATGTGAATTCCCTTGGAGCAGCATCTTGGATAATATGCATTTCCCCAATGCCTGGTGCCCTGGCTTGTGCACCATAAGTATTCAATAAATGCTTGTTTAAATCTTTCTTCCTTTCCCTTTCCCAACCCCAAACTACTCCTATCTTGGCTACAGGCCCTTCATTTGGGGGATGATCTTTAGTTTCCAGCTACCTACTCTCCCAAAGCCCCGTCTCTAGGGAAGCAGAAGCAACAAGGATACTGAGTGTGACGAGAGAAGGCTAAAGGCCGGGGCTAGGCAGCCGGTTCTTTCAGGGGAAAAGCATGAAGACTGAGAGACTGTTCAGTCCTGCCAGCCTTTGGCAAGAGTACCAGAAACCGAAGCACTCCTATGTGGCAGCCAAGCCCGGGACGACAGGCCAAAGGGCACTCTGACAGGGCAGCACCACCTCCCCATCCCTGCCCTTGGGTCCTAACCGAAGCCAGACTGCACCAGCCTCCACGTGGACCTGTGTAAATCTCCTCTCTGCTCTCCCAGGTCCAACTCTCCTCCACAGCCTGCCAAAGCTGGTCAAAAAGAGGAGTCACTTCCCTCAAGGATGAACTGTAAAGGAATGCCTGCCACTTAGAACACGGCCCAAGTTCCTGAGCACAGCTTTCGAGGCTCTCACCACCTGACCCCCGTAAACCTGGCCAGCCACATCCTCATGCCTCCTTTCCTGCATCACCTGCTCCAGCGAACTAAAGCAGCAAGGTGCCCTGAAGGTCTCCACCCATCTCTGAACCCCCCTATTTCTGCTAAGCCATTATCTTTCTCCTGCACTTAACACAACTGAGGGGCTCAAAGACAGAGCCATAGTCTATAAACCCTGTGAAATTTCACCATGCAACTTTTTGAAAATCCTTGTCAGACAATTCCAAATAGACGCTAGCCATCCAATTGTGTCCCATGCACCCGTGCAAATTTAATAAACAGATCTACACCCAAGCTACTTGCAGTGGTTTTTGGTTTTGAGAATGGGTCTCCCGGTGTTGCCCATGTTGGTCTCAAATTCCTGGGCTCAAGCGATCCTCTTGCCTCAGCCTCCCAAGGATCTGGGACTTCAAGCATGCACCACTGCACCCAAGAAACCTTCTCCAGGATAACCCTGATCTATTATCCTTTGAGTATGATTATTAACTGAAGAATTTAACTATCCTAACATTCAGCCAACCCTGTCCTCGAGCACAGGGCTGTGCTTGTCATAGACTCTTGAAGAGCCTGTGGAAGTCAATATCCTGCCCGTATTTCCCCAACTAGCAATTCCAAAACCCAGGACTAGTCTGACAGGCTCTGTTTGGAACTGCAGACCCATTCTGGCCCCTACCAATTGTTTTCTTCCCTAGATCAAGCCAAAACACACCTGAATAACCTGCTCTTCCTCCCAGATATTGGAACATATCATGAAACCACAATAAATATGTGCACACAGGCAGATCGATGGAATAAAACACAAGGCCGAAAATAAATCCAAATACACATAGGAATTTAGAATATAATGAGAGGTGTTTCAAATCATGAAAGGGTATTTTGTTTACTAAATGACATTAGTACAAAACTGTAAAGTTAGATTTGTACCTCATGCCTTACGCTAAGATAAACAAATTCCAAATGGATGAAAGCTTTGCATGGGAATACTAAAACCGTAAAAGCATTAGGATTGTGAAAGCATTCACGCATTGTAAGTGCTTATTAGCATCTATAAGACGTCAGGAAAAAAATGTGAGAACATTCCAATAATCTTCAAAGCCCTTTAAAAAAATACTGTCCAAAATCCAGGAGCTTTTAAAGAATAAATTCAACTAATGAAAATTAAATTTTCAGCATGGCAAAAAAACAAACCCACTAAAAGTCAAGAGAAAAACAAACTCCTTAAAAAAATGCAACTCTTATTACAAAGAGCCAATGTTCCTAATATACAGAGCTATGAACTGAGAAAACAAAATCAACTTAATAGGCAAAGGATATGAACATTTCACAAAAAAAAAAAGGAAATTCAAAGAGTTGTTTTTTGTTTTTTGTTTTTATGGAGTCTTGCTCTGTCACCCAGGCTGGAGTGCAGTGGTGTGATCTCAGCTCACTGCAACCTCTGCCTCCCGGGTTCAAGCGATTCTCCTGCCTCAGCCTACCAAGTAGCTGGGATTACAGGCACCCACCATCATGCCTGGCTAATTTTTGTAGAGACAGGGTTTCACCATGTTGGCCAGGCTGGCAAAGAGATCTTAAACACATAAAAAGAGGCTCAAACTCTCTCACAAGAAAAATGTAAATTAAAACACATTAATGTGCCAATTTCCATTTAACATATTGGCAAAGATCACAAAGTTAACTGTGAACAACACACTTTGGCAAAGGTTCGGGGAAACACCCATACTCCTGGTGGGAGCAAAAATTGATACAACATCCACGAAAGAACTCAGCATTTCTGCTTCTTGGAATTCATTCTACAAATACTCACTTATGTGAAGAATGACATGTCCACGTGGCATTTTATACAAATATATGTCTGTTTTGTGGCAGCAAGAGAGAAAGCATCAACCTAAATATTCATCATCGGGGACTAGTTTAAAACATTATGATACAATGAGATTCTAGGCAGCTGTCAAAAGAGAATGAGGAAGCTCTGTATGAACAGAAATGGAATGATCTTCAAATTCTGCCAACTCCACCTTCAAAAATTATCTAGAATCCAACCACTTCTCCAACACCTTAGTGGAAGGTATCATCTCTTCTAGCTGAATCTGCTTCCTAGCTGGTGTCTCTACTACCCTTTCTTTTGTCTGTTCCCCAGGAGCAGTCACACGGGTTCCATTACAACATAAATTATGTGACATCAATTATCGGCTTAAACCCCTCCAGTGGCTTCCCACCTCACCAAGTAGAAACCATAGGCCCTGCCTCACTGCCCCCCCATCCCCCAGCCATCCTCTTTCACCCTATTATTACTCTGACCTCATTCCCTTTTCCAACCTCACTGGCCTCCTTGCTTTCCTTGAACACACCAAGAATGCTCCTGCTTCAGGATCCTTGTACTTGCTGTGCCTGGGCCCCAGAACTCCACACAGCTCTCTCTCAACTCTTTAGGGTCTTTAGAGTCTTTATTCAACATCACCTTCTCAGCAAGAGCTTCCTCGACCATTGTAATTAAAATTGCACACACACACACACACACACACACACACACATGTAGTAACATGGTAGACATGGGTGTTCTGGGTGTAATTCTTTCAACTTCTCCGAATGTTCAAAAATTTTCATTATAAAATATTGAAAACAGGCTGGGCGCGGTGGCTCACACCTATAATCCCAGCACTTTGGGAGGCTGAGGCAGGCGGATCACGAGGTCAGGAGTTCAAGACCAGCCTGGCCAACATGATGAAACCTCATTTCTACTAAAAATACAAAAAGTAGCCGGGCGTGGTGGTGCATGCCCGGCTACTCAGCTACTCAGGAGGCTGAGGCAGGAGAAGTGCTTGAACCCAGGAGGCAGAGGTGCAGTGAGCCGAGATTATAACGCTGCACTCCAGCCTGGGGCAAGACTCCATCTTGAAAACTAAATAAGTTAAAATTTAAAAATTCAAAATACTGAAAACAATACACCCACACGAATCTATCCCTTTCCTTGCTTTATTTTCCCACTGTGCTCACCATCAAATATACATCTTACTTATTTGTCTACCCCCCACCCCCAAAATATCTAGAATATAGATCCCACAAGGGCAGGGCAGAGATTTCTGCATTTTGTTCACTGCTGTATCTCCAGCTTTGTAAAACAGTGCCTATCAATGACTACCAACATCAAATTTATGGTTTTACTGTAATAATGTAAGATGTAACCACTGGAGGAAACTGGCTGAAGGACAGCTTGTCATCCCTACCCTCTCATTAGCATCTCTGCAACCTCCTGTGGACCTATAGTTACATACATTATATATATACACATACATACATATATATACACACATACATATAGATACATACATGCATATACACACATACATATATATACACACACACATATATACACACATATATATATACACATATATATACACACATATATATATACACACACATATATATATACACACACACACATATATATATATATCACACATATATATATATATATATATATATATATATATATTTTTTTTTTTTAGACGAAATCTCACTCTGTTGCCCAGGCTGGAGTGCAGTGGCGCGATCTCGGCTCACTGCAATTTCCGCCTCCTGGGTTCAAGCAATTCTCCTGTCTCAGCCTCCCGAGTAGCTGAGATTACAGGTGCACTCCACCACATCCAGCTAATTTTTTTTTTGAGATGGAGTCTCACTGTCGCCCAGGCTGGAGTGCAGTGGCGCGATGGCTCACTGCAAGCTCCGCCTCCCGGGTTCACGCCATTCTCTCACCTCAGCCTCCTGAGCAGCTGGGACTACAGGTGCCTGCCACCACACCCAGCTAATTTTTTGCATTTTTTAGTAGAGACAGCCTCTGATTTATGTTACGTGATAATATACTACCATTTGCATTTAAAATTATATATATATTTGTATGTGCATACAATATCTCCAGATGAATATGCAAAAACTGATCATACTGGCTGCTCTGGCAGAAAATCTCATGGCTAAAGAGGACTTTTCAACAAACCTTTTGTACCTCTTGAGTTTTGAACCATGTGGATGTTTTCCCGATCCAGAACACCATTCAAATGAGAAAAAATTCTGTTCTAGCCTCTTCCCCAAAATCAATGTCAACTTCACCTATCTAGTTTCCAGAAATCAGGTTCTTTCCCTTTCTGAAAAACCACTATTGCACTTTTCACACTACACCCTTGTCCTTGCAGTGATCCTTAAACCTTCCAGGGCCTTCTCCACCTAGAAGAAATTCCTCTTGAACTCAGAGGAGGAAAAAAAAAAAAAAAAGCTATTAAGACAGTTTAGGAATTAATAGGAAAATTTTAATATCACAATTATCACTGGATTACTGTTATTTTTCTTAGGTTTGATAATGGTATCAGGATTGTGCAGAAAAACATTCTTATCTTAGAAGATAATTCATGTTAAAGAATCTGGGATGGGAAGGGCCACGGTGTCTACAGCTTACTTTCACGTGGTCCCATGAAAAAAGAAATGTGTATAACTACAGATGTATAGATTAGACAGATATATGGGTGTAATATAGATACATGTCTACATGTAGATACGCAGTTTATAGGGATAAGAGTTAACATGACTAAATGTTAATTGGCAAATCTAGGCAAAGGTTATCTATTATACTGTTCTCACTTTTCTGTTTATTTCGAAAACAAGTTGAGGGGTAACTTTTTAAAATCCTACTGAAGTTTCCAAAAATTAGCTCAAATGCCACCTCCTCAAAGGGCTCTTCAGGATACATGTTGGGAGAAATGACTCCCTCTTCTGCATTGCGAAGGCACTTTACTTACGTTCATGATTCAACTGACTGAGCAAAAAAAACCACGGGGCCCCTAGTTCAAGCCCACCAATCTTGGTACCCTCTCACAGACACATCTCTCGGTTCATCCTCACACGTCCATCCCAGCAAGGCCTAGAATAGGATTAGTGCTTAAAGAAAAGACACTGGGACAGTCAGGTGCGGTGTCTCATGCTTGTGATCCCAGCACTTTGGGAGTCCAAGGCAGGTGGACCATGAGCTCAGGAGTTCAAGACCAGCCTGGCCAACATGGTGAAACCCCACCTCTACTAAAAATACAAAAATTAGCCAGGCAGTGGCAGGCGCCTGTAATCCCAGCTACTCAGGAGGCTGAGGCAGAGAATTGCTTGAACCTGGGAGGCAGAGGTTGCAGTGAGCTGAGACCATGCCACTGCACTCCAGCCTGGGCGACAGAGCAGGAGTCCATCTCAAAAAAAAAAAGAAAAGAAAAGACACTGGGTGGGAAATATCCACACCTCAAGAGTGAGCAGGAAGGCCTGGGGTGAGCTTATCAAACTCCTGCCAGGGAGCTGTGAGGGGAACTGTCATTAGGAGGACTAGCCCCAAAACAGAGGTCATTCCCAACGTACCCACTACGGACACCCTTTCATCTTGGGGTAAGGTCCAAATTTCCCAGAATTCAATGACTAAACTGCTCCACACCTTTTCCTAATTTCCTAAACTTCCATAGACTGAGCAATCACTCAGCCTGCCCTTTCAGACCAAGGGGCTGAGCACGCATGCGTGTGGGCATGTGGGTGTTGACACAGGTCCACTCACTAGGATGCATTCTCCACACATTTCCCACCCCGAATACAAACACGAAAGCAGGGCTGTGTCTCTATAACTCCTCATTCTTAACCCTACACACAATTCTGCACGTTTAGCATCCAGCCAGAATCCTACAATTCTGACACCATCGTGCTGAGTGATGGGACAGTCCATTACACCAATGTCAGTTGTTCCTCTCTGGATCGTCAAAAAGAGGACAGCTATGGAGACATCTGGGGAATACTATGGACACCCTGAAAAGCCCAGCAGACACTTGAGCTTCTGGCTGGGGACCCAGGTGTGGCAAAAGGCAGAAGCAGCAGTCGCTATCTAAGGACATAACTTTATTGGAAACAAAGAGTGGGGTGCAGAAGATGGCTAGGAGTCAGGCTCTGTGGGAGGTGGTGGCTTCTCATCATCAGGGGGACAATCGATGAAGTCGGCCAGCATGGCAGCTGTGTCATCCTGCTCCTTTTAGGCACAAAGATACAAGATTCAGAATAGTCACACACACATACACAGAAGAATGGTTCAGGCTGGGCAAACCTCTCCTAAGAGAAGCAGCTGCCACCCCTTCTCCCGCCAGCCCCACCTTCTCGCCCAAGGAACCTTCCCTGCCTGGCCTCTCACCTTTTCCTGGAGAGCTTCGGCCTCTGTCTCTGTCTCCATCTCTTCTTCTGCAGGTGTCTCTGGTGGGGGCTGCACCTTGTCACTCCCATCCTCAGTCTCCTCTTCCAACAGGGTTGGGGGAGCAGAGGGCTCTTCTTCAACAAGCTCCTGGGGAGGGGGCCCTGCCGCAGGGCTTTCCCCTTCCCTCTCCACCTCTCCCTGGGAGGGGAGCGCTTCAGGGGCCAGGGTGGGAGCTGTGTCAGCCCCACGCTCCTCCTCCGTCCCTGGCTCCTCCACTTCCAAAAGCAGCCCGGGTTCAGGTTCGGGTTCTGGCTGCACCTTTGGGGGAGACTCAGGGGGAGGCAGAGCTGGAGGCAGGGTTGGGGGTGGAGGTGCACCTTCTTCTACCTCCCCTCCTGCTGTGCCAAACTCCAGGTCTTCCACCTCTTCCAGTTCTTCTTCCTCCTCCTCATCCTCCTCTTCTTCTTCTTCCTCTAACTCACCTTCTTCTTCCTCAAATTCTTCCTCAAACTCTTCTTCCTCCTCTTCTTCCTCTTCAAAATATTCCTCTTCATCCTCTTCCTCTTCCTCAAAGTCTTCCTCCTCTTCCTCTTCTTCCTCTTCTTCTTCTTCCTCTTCTTCCTCTTCCTCCTCCTCTTCATCACTGCTGTTGATATTAATAACTGTCAAATCCTCTTCCAGGGCTGGGGGTCCTCCCCCACCAGGAGTCCCTTCAGGGACCAACTGGGGTGGAGGGAGCGTCACAGGACCAGGAACAGGCGGCGGCGGAGGTGGGGGTGGCGGGAGAGGCCCTGGGGCTGCAGGAAGTTCTTCAGGCTCCTCCTTCGCTGGCACAGGAGGGGAGGCTGTTGGTGGCCCAGTGGGGGCTATAGGGGGTGGTGTGGCACCTGAGGGTGGTGGGGGTGGCAGGGGGGGAAGCCCCTCGGGCACGATCACCACGCTGTCATCAGAGTCACTTTCCAAGGAGATCTCCACATCAGATGCCTCCTCCTTGTCATAGTGGACAAAGGCTGGTCTGGGCACTCTCCCCCCAAAAGTTTCATCTGGGGGTATAGTAGGTGGGGGAGTCCCACTAGGGGCAAGGATGGGGTCCTCATTTGAGCCTGCCCGGTGGTTCTCAGGGCCAGGAAGAAGCCGGGGAGGGACAGACACTAGGCCTGGGACAGAAAGGCCTAGGTGGTTGGCTGTGGTGGGAGGTCCAGGGCGTGCCGAGGGCACAGGGCCTGCTGAGGGCATGGGGCCTGCTGAAGGCATGGGGCCTGCTGAGGGCATGGAGCCCACTGAGGGCATGGGGCCCGGAGGATGGAACGGTGGGGCCCTGAAGGGCGATGGGGCCTCAGGAGGGGGAACTGGAGCAGGTGTGGGGCAGGTGGGGCCCATGGGCTGCAGGGGAGGAACCCGGGGGTGGGTCAGAGCAGCACAGGTCACCAGTGCTTCTGAGCAGAAAGAGGAGACCTGAGGAAAGAAGAAAGGGCAAGTGTGAGCACCAGAAATACTGGGAGTCTCTTGGAAACAAGAGACTCCAGGAACCAAAGAGGGGCTTGGCCCATCACAGTTACCTCAAGGCTATCTTCTCGCTGGCCGAGGGAGAAGGCTTGCAGGGCACAGGCAAGAGGAGGTGGGCAGCGAGGAGACGGGGCCAGCAGCAGCGCCAGCAGCAGGCAGTAGAGTTCACGGCGGCAGCGGGAGCTCGTGTACGGGGAGCTGCCTAGGACCTCACCCTGCTGTACACCCATGACCAGGGGGAGGACCAGGTCATGCAGTCTCTGAAAAGGACAGAGCACACCTGGAAACATCCCCAAGACCACCCAACCCTTCTCCAGAGCCTACTCCCAGGTCGGAATGGACCCACCTCTGGGCCACACCCCCCAATGTGTACAGAGCAGGGGCCCCTTCCCCTATCTCCACGGAGACGAGGCTCCACTAACCCTGTGAGTCTCCTCCTTGATGAGAGGCCCACACATGAGGATGGTCCGGCTGAGGCCTGGGGAAGAAGAATGGTGTGTAAAGGGTAGGCTCCCAACAGACTGACGGCAAGGGCTTCTGAAGCATACAGCCCAAAATGGGCATCAACTCTGCCACTGCCTATCTTGGCCAAGTCATTTAACTTCTCAACTAGAAAATGGGGATCATAAAAGTACCTCTACTGTATAGGGCCACTGACGGTATTTAATTGAGACAATGTAAGTAAAAAATTATAAATTTTATAATTTTGCATTTATATATTTGGGAACAATCGGTTCTCCCCTTCCCATGGGATGGGGTGGCAGGCAGTGAAATATATGGGACCCAGAGGAAAGGCATCCATTAACTGCACAGTATCCGACTAGCAACCTGTGGACAGGTCAGTGGTTACGGTGAGAGCAGGGAGCTCCCCCAGGCAGCCTGCCCTTGGAAGAATGTCAGCTTCACAGGGAGGAGCCTTCCCCGCATGCTGGAACTCTGCCTGATAGAAAGTGGATACACCAAGGACGTGCTGAACGCCGGAGGAAGCGAAGGCCTTGGAGGGGCTGTGTCGGCTACCAGAGCTCCCGGTCTAACCGCAGGACCCGAGGCCGCCTGCAGCCCTGGCAACAGGGCGGCTGCTTGGGTGCCTCCTCCTGGCCTCTCTGCGGGCTTCCGCCTGGCTCTGCATTTCACAGGCACCTTCCCCTTCACCTGCTGTTTGGGGGATCACTTATCGCAGTGGACGAAGGCTGGTCTAGGCACTCTCCCCACAAAAGTTTCACCTAAGGGTATAGTAGGTAGGGGAGTCCCACTAGGGGAAAGGATGGGGTCCCGTTTGAGCCCCAGTGGTCCAGGGCACAGGCCTCACCCACCTCTGAGTGCAGCCGCACACACGTCGCTGTTGGCATTGCTATCCCCTTTCCGGTGGCTTGGCGGGGCCATAGCTTCCCCCACATCCAGCTTTAGCTTCTTGGGGGCGCTAGGCTTCCCAGTCTGCAAACTCCCATCAGGGCTCCCCCGCGGGCTACGCAGCTGGAGGCAGAGAAAACATAAATCACATCCACAGGCAAACAACAAGGCAAGACAGCCACAGCAGACAGTGTTTCCTGAGCAGGCACACTTGGTCAAAGGGCACAGGATGAGTCCTAAGGCGGAGCTGAGGCCTCCTCACCTTAAGGGCATCAGCTGGCGGGGAGATGTCGCTGAGCAGGTGGGTGAGCAGGGCCTCTCCAGAGGCTCCTCCCTGAAGCATTCCCGCCGAGGCCCCACAAACCTGCACCCACAGCTCTAATATCGCATACACCTTGGTCCGAACCGTGCTGTGTCATGAGCAAAGATGGCAGTTATGAATGGGGGGTCAACATGCCAGAAGCCCCAGCCCACCTGCACCCCCTCACCCCCCTCTCCTCTTTATTCCCTTCCTGCCTTCCTGGATGGTCACCTGTAAGGCCTCTCCTGGCCTGGAGAGAGGGAATCTCTACCGATGCTCCAGGAATTGAGGACCTGGGGAAGCAGGCGGCCGATCAGGATCCCAAAGCGCAAGAGCCGGCTTCCACACCTGGGGCAGAGAAGGAATGGTGACCCTCGTTTCTGGCACGCCCTATCCCTTCACCACAGCCAGCCCAATCCCACTCACGCGAGGATGAGTGCAGACAGCAGGTCCAAGGCCTCAAGGTGGATAGAGGGCAGCAGCAGCAGCCGCAGGGGACCATCTCCATGCAAGCTCTGGAGAAAAAAGGGGCAGAGATAAAGAGTGGAGGAAGAAAGTGAGAGCCAGAGAGAGACAGAAACAGGGAATGACCATTTACATATGTACACATAGGTAAGAAACCCAACCCCTGATCTCAGCTCTCCCAACAAAATCAAACCCCTATCCTCTAAAATAGACCCTGGATGGAAGGTAAGAAGGATGGCTGGGCCTCTCAGCAATGACTCAGCTGATCCCCAAATTCACCCTCCCCCAAGGAAGCATTTGCTACACTCTGACACTGTGCTCCTGTGTCACGACACATAGGAAGTGATGTTATTTGGACAAAAGTAGGAAGCTCTCTGGGACGACTCCAGGATGACACTGTTTGGGGAGACTCAGGTCCCCAGTACTTTCCTGGTTGCCTGGTATCCTGAGCAAGGGCTCTGAAGAGATGACAAATCCCACTTACAATATTCTTGCTACTGACGCTGAGGGTCCGGCAGATGAAATCCAGGATTTCCTGCACAGGGACGGACACGGGAGCTCCAAACTCAGAGCTAAAGAGAATCAGAGCAGGGAGACCTTCAGAGCAGGCTCCCTGGCATAACTCCCACACCCACCTTCATCTCCTTTCTCCTGATGAAGGCGACACTCCCTCATCAATCCCTCCTGCTCCACGCCTCCGCTCCCTCCAATACCCACACACACCTGAGCATGAGCCCTAGGCAGCGGGCCAGTCCCGAAAACCTCTGCCGAAGCTGGAGAAGGACATGGGCATCACCATCTTCTGAGGACAGCAGCATCTCCACCCCAGGGCCTTCATTCTGCACAGGAGCTGGCAGAAGCACAACTACCCTGTACACTGTCTTTCTTCCATCCCCTCCTCTGTCATTTCTGGTGGACGACCTGCCTGTATTCTAACCCATTTTCCCCAAAAACCAACTGCCCCATGTCTCTGGGCTCCCCTCCTGTTCCTTCCTGCCACGCTTCCTCACTATTGTTCCACTAACTAGCAGCCCTGGTCCCTACCAGTCTCTGCTCCCTCGTACAGGGCCCCCAGCAGGGTGTGCAGTGAGGCCAGCAGACTGTGTAGCTCCTGCTCCCAGCTCTCGGTGTGCTTCAGGCCTTGGGAAAAGCCAGCCCCTAAAGAGGGCAGCCGGGAATAACACTCACAGGCCAACTGCGGGAGAAAGGACAGAAACCTGGTCAGATGGGAATCCAGCCCAGCCACAGAACCCCCAGCCCCACTGACACCCAAAAGAGATGGAGATCAGAGAGAGCTCTGAGGGAAACCTGAGATGGGACAATGAGGCCGAAGGACACAGATGGGCATATGAAGGCAGGACAGAAAAGCTAGAGGAGGAGCAGCAAGAGACAATCCAGGCTCAGATCCCCGGGCTCTCCCTCTCCCTCCCTGCCCTTTACCTGTTGGAGCTGAGGGCTCAAGGCATCCACCCTAGACAGAAAAAATGAGGCCAGCTTGCCCTGGATGTGGAGGAAAAAAGGAAGAGGCCAGTGAGCCAGCTCTGAGAGCCAGAGATGTACATCCCATCCGTTCCCAGCAGCAGACTCTAAGCCCAGGTCTCTTTTTCCTGTAGACACAAGAAGCAAAGCCCTCTATGGGGCATCAACACCGGGCACGGACATGCTTTCATGGTAAAAGACTCCTCAACGCCAGCTCTGGTCCTCGGCTTCCTGCTTGGGAGCGAAAAGGGCCTGGCCCTGTCCCAGAGACAGCTGGGCTTCCTCCTTGACAGTTTTTGCAAAATTTTTCCCTCAAGCCAAAAGGACATAGTACTAAAAAACAGTCTCCACACTCCAACTCTCTACCAGCTCACACACAAAAACGAGGGTCCAAGCTGGAAGTTAAGACACTAACCAGAGGTATGAGGGCAGGACAAGGTCAAAAAAGAAGGCTGCTAGAGCAGAAGTAAGGCAGCAAGTCTCGGAGTAGCAATCTGTCATTCGGCACTTTCTCTGCCTGCTGTGTGAAGGTGCTAGGGCAGGAGTGTTTAACCTGAGAACCACAATTTAGTTGGATATACAATCATAGGGGGCCTGTGATCATGGATGGGGAAAAAAATTACTCCCACTAGCCTATTTGTAAAATGTAGTGTTTCCTTCACTTATAAATGCAGACAAATAGCCACAGTAGTATCAGCAGTACCTGTGACTGTCACTAATAGAATCATTTTCATGTCACATTATAATTGTAACACATCCTGAAATATCATTCACATGCATCACTAATTTGCAATTATAGTCGTTGTAAGACCTGCTTCTAGATCTTATTACTTAACATGTCAATAAAAAAGCACAGGCTGGGTGCAGTAGCTCACGCCTGTAATCCAGGCACTTTGGGAGGTCAAGGCAGGCGGATCACTTGAGCCAAGGAGTTTGAGACCAGTCTGGGCAACATGGAGAAACCCTATCTCTACTAAAAATACAAAAACTTAGCCGGGTGTGGTGGCGCATGCCTGTAGTCCCAGCTACTTGGGAGGCTGAGGTGGGAGGACCACCCAAGCCCAGAACCGAGATCATGCCAGTCAGTGTACTCTAGCCTGGGTGATGAGAGTGAGACCCTGTCTCAAAAAGAAAAAAAAAAAGGCCAGGCACGGTGGCTCATACCTGTAATCCCAGCACTTTGGGAGGCTGAGGTGAGCAGATCACGAGGTCAGGAGTTCAAGACCAGCCTGGCCAACATGGTGAAACCCCATCTCTACTAAAAGTACAAAAATTAGCTGGGCACAGTGGTGGGCACCTGTAATCCCAGCTACTTGGGAGGCTGAGGCAGGAGAATTGCTTGAACCCAGGAGGCGGAGGTTGCAGTGAGCCGAGATCACGCCACTGCACTCTAGCCTGGGTGACAGAGCAAGACTCTGTCTCAGAAAAAAAAAAGAATTAGTAAGGATAACAAGACAAGCATATGGAAAAACAAGAATCTGGAGCCAACACTGGCAACATACAGAGAAGGGGAAAGAGCAGGCTCACGCTTTCCCCGAGACATCCTAGTGGTGCACACCTGTAGTCCTAGCTACTTGGGAGACTGACGTGGGAGGATCACTTGAGCCCAGGAGTTCAAGGTTACAGTGAGCTACAATCTTAACACTGCACTCCTGGGTCACAGAGCGAGACCCTATCTCCAAAAACGGCTCAAAAAGCTGGACTGAAGCCAACAGAAGTCTGCTTATGTGACTGCAATAAAGCAGTGTACGGTGAAGCGACACGGCTCTAACCACAGGTTACCCTGGCTGACCCACAAAGCAAACCAAAGCAATGACTCGCTTGGAACAGTTCACTCAAAACGCGCACACACACAGCATGTCCTGGGGCTCTCTCAAGAGTAGGTCAGTCTTCCCACCCATTCCGAGGAACTGCTCATCAATGTGGCAAGGACGAGGAAGTGAGTTCAAGTCTCTGCAGGAATTGACCTCATGGACTCAGAATGCTTGATTCACATTACTTGGGAGTAGTAATCCTGAGCTTGGAGTCTACAATTACCCTGAGAGTATCCGGGGAATGTAACAGAAAACACAGACACTTCAAAACGGCAGTTATCAGTTTTCCTAAGTACTAGTCTGCGAGATTTTCCAAGTGCAAATTGCCCCTGGAGCCTCTGCATGACAGATTCTTATCTGAAGTGCTGGCAACCGACAAAGCCAAAACCCTCAACACCCTCAACAGAGGGAAGTTCTCCAGATGACCTTTTTTTTTTTTGAGACAGGGTCTCACTCTGTTACCCAGGCTAGAGTGCAGTGCCACGATCTCAGCTCACTGCACCCTCTGCCTCCCAGCTTCAGGGGATCTCCTGCCTCAATGTTCTAAGTAGCTGGAACCACAGGCACACACCACCACACCCAGCTAATTTTTTTGTATTTTTGGTAGAGGTAGGGTTTCACCATGTTGGCCAGGCTGATCTCAAACTCCTGGCAGATGGCACTTGATTCTTAGGGAAATAAAGGTAAGACACTCCCTGGAAGGACACAGGAACATTTGTTAGTTTGGAAAGGGTACTCAAAATGCAGGCCTTAAGTTCAACTGTCTGACAAAAGGTTGAGAATTACAGATAAATTCTCCTGACTACTCACACTGAAAATAAAAAAGCAACAGCAGAAGAACACTTAGCATTCTAGTCTCCTTAACTCTTACTATTCACACTTCTATCCTGTTAAGTAACACTCAATTTCCCCTCCACTTTCATGGGGGATGCAGGTAGATAAAGATAATACCTAACAGAGCTGAATCAAAATACACTTTTGCAGTAAAACCAAACCTTTGTTCAGGGACAAACTGCTGGCCTGTGTCATTTGAGAGGTTAACTTACAGAACATTTGACAAGATAACCAGTTTTTACTAAACTTAGTAAAACCTCAGTAAATAACCTCTGCTAATCTTTAATAAAATCGATGAGTCACTCCAAATACCTTCTTGACAAAATGTCCTGCCCTGCCTACCCAAAGATTCTATTAGCTGTGATTAGAGGCATTCACATGAAAAGAAGGAACCAGCAAGGACACAACCCCTCGCTCACTCAGAACTAGCATCTGCTCAGGCACTTTTCAGATACTGCGAGTAACCAGTTACTAACGACACTGCAGGCATCACTCCCTGATCACAGCGCTCAGGCCGATGGAACTCTGACTCACAGTCCTTCCCAGGCCAGCGAGCTACACAGCCACTAACAATTGACTAGAGCTGCTACCTGCCCTGGTTTTACAATTACCAGATAATATAACCTTTGGTTACGTCACTTAAGTCCCTCTCAGCTGGTTTTCTCCTCTGTAAAATGCAGTGATACAAATTCCACAGAATAATTACAATGATAAAATGACACAACACATCTTAGACACTCAGGAGAGTGAATGGCACAGTGGGCACCCACTAAAGACCAGTTCCCTTTCCCTCCAAGAACTTACTTTCTTGCTTTGGTCACAGAACCACATTAATCTCATTTTCTTTCTTTTTTTGGAGACAGAGTCTCACTCTGTCACCCAGGCTGGAGTACAGTGGTGCGATCTCGGCTCATGGCAACCTCCGCCTCCTGGGTCCAAGCAATTCTCCTGCCTCGGCCTCCCAAGTAACTGGGACTACAGGCACACACCGCCACGCCTGGCTAATTTTTTGTATTTTAGTAGAGGCGAGGTTTCACTGTGTTGCCCAGGCTGGTCTCAAACTCCTGAGCTCATGCAATCTGCCCGCCTTGGCCTCTCAAAGTGCTGGGATTACAGGCATGAGCCACCACGCCCAGCCTCATAATCTCACTTTCAAGACAACCTGAATAGCAAACTCCCCCTTAACTAACAATACTAATGGCAAATACAGTTAACTCCACCAGTTAAACAAAAAATTACTAATTTGCCACAAATTCCAGCTCTCTAGAGATTTGTGTTTCCATCTGAGTAAGCAGGTGTCCGATCGTTTGTCAAACCAATGGTGAATATAACAAAATAAGAGAACATTTAATCTACAGGGGAATACCTACTTGTTCTTAGGTATAGTTGGCATCCAATTATACTGCAAACAACAAATGTGCCAATTACGAATGGCCCTTTAACTGTGACTGCTTAGGCAGAATTTGTAAACCATTCATGTTTGTTATTGTATCTCCCTAAAAACAACACTGTAATTCTTCTCCTGACCTCCTCCATCATCTGACCCACATACACCCTGACCTGCCTGTCTGACCTACTAAGGCTCTTTTGTAGTCACCTTGTATGTGTCATGACAACTGGGAGGAAGGGGTCAGGAAGCGACAGAGGGAGTTTAAACAGGAATATACACAGAAAGAAGTGTTAGGGCAATTGTCCTAGGGAAGTGATATGTCAGAAAGCATTCCCAGAGAAAATTACAAGACCTTCAAGAATAAAGTAAAGGCTGGGTGCACAGGTGGCTCATGCCTGTAATCCCAACACTTTGGGAGGCCGAGGCGGGAGGATCACGTGGGGCCAGGAGTTCAAGACCAGCCTGGCCAACATAGTGATACCTCGTCTCTACAACAAATATAAAAATTAGCTGGGCGTGGTGGCATATGTCAGTAATCCCAGCTACTTGCATACATCTGTAATCCCAGCTACTCGGAGGCTAAGGCATGAGAATCACTTGGAACCTGGGAGGTGGAGCTTGCAGTGAGCCGATATCACACCACTGCACTCCAGTCTGGGCGACAGAGACTCTCTCAAAAAAAAATAAAATGGCCAGGCGCAGTAGCTAATGCCTGTAATCCCAGCATTTTGGGAGGTCAAGGCGGGCGGATCACAAAGTCAAGAGATCGAGACCATCCTGGCCAACATGATGAAACCCCATCTCTACTAAAAATACAAAAATTAGCTGGGCGTAGTGGTATGCACCTGCAGTCCCAGCTACTCGGGAGGCTGAGGCAGGACAATTGCTTGAACCCGGGAGGCAGAGGTTGCAGTGAGCCAAGATCACGCCACTGCACTCCAGCCTGGCAACAGAGTGAGACTCCATCTCAAACAAAATTAATAAAATAAGATATGATGTGAATTGGTTGAACGTTAAAAATTTAAAAAAAAAATGAATAAAGTAAGATAGGGGGCCAGGCACAGTGGCTCACACTTATAATCCCAGCACTTTGAGAAGCTGAGGCAGGAGGATCACTTGAGGTCAGGAGTTCAAGACCAGCCTGGGTAACATGGCGAGACCCCCCTACAAAAAATTTAATAATTAGCTGGGCGTGGTGGCACACGCCTTAGTCCCAGCTACTTGGGAGGCTGAGGTGGGAGAATTGCTTGAGCCCAGGAGGTCAAGGCTACAGTGAGCCAAGTGTGTGCCACTGCACCCCAGCCTGGACAACAGAGTAAGACCCTGTCTCAAAAAAAAGACAAGGTGGTAGAAAAGTGGGTAGGGCATTTTAAGAGATACAGAAAAGGCAAGGCAGAAAAAGGAAGGAGCCCATGGTTCAGAGTCTGGCTTAGGCATCAAACAGATACAGGTTCCAGTGCCTGCTGATCTTAGCAAGTTCTTGATTCCAACTTCTTTGGAAAAACGAGGGTTAAATGAGGTAAGTGCTACAAAGTGGTAGAAGTGTACTTGTGGAGATAGGTAACTTTAAAGGATAATCAGAAGATAGGTGCTTAGGAATCTCAGGACAGGAATCTGAGGTAAGAGCTCTCAACGCTTACACTGGTGGGGAGAAGAGTGCATAAATACTTACTTTGAGAGAACCACAAGCCCGAGGGAAATAGGTCATACAAGCCTTCATTCCTTCCAATGCTGACTGCTCACACTGTAGGAAAAACAAAGGGAGAAACGAGAGGCTGCGAGCACCATGTCACCATATTCCATCTCCCCCAGCACCCCACAAGGGCCCTTCTCCAGAAATCACTTTTTCTTGGCCCCTCCCTCTTCTCACTTCTTCAATCCTATTCCCCAGTCACTTCCATCAAACAATTAAACAGTGTGTGAAGGTGAGGACTGCGGGGGGCCATGGGGAAGGGTCCAGGGAGACATCTCACCTCTGGCCTGAGGCCCAGCAGGGAGGTGAGAAGGCCAGGGAGGTGGTTCATGGAGATGTCCCGGAACAGTGCAGGCAGCTGGGCTGCATATCGGAGGAGGTCCCTCAGGACAGCCACGGCCAGCTCCATTGTGGCAGGCGGGTCCTGGGTCTAAAGAAAAAAATAATGTCTCGTGCTTCCAGCCTCACCTTGATTGTCACCAAAGAGCAGCAGGAGAAAATACAAGCCTTCTGAGGAATGCCACGGTTAATGTCAGTCTGACCATCCAAGCCACTACCTGGCAGAAAAGAGGGTGTGGAGACACGGATACTGTGTTTACATTTTACTATTACGGGTATCTGGGGTCCTAGGAATTTGTGTGGGGGAAAAAAAGAGTAACAAAGCTATACCTTAAAGACCTGATTAACTGAAGAGTTTTCTTTTTTTTTTTTTTTTTGAGACGGAGTCTTGCTCTGTCACCCAGGCTGGAGTGCAGTGGCGCGATCTCGGCTCACTGCAAGCTCCGCCTCCCGGGTTCACGCCATTCTCCTGCCTCAGCCTCCCGAGTAGCTGAGACTACAAGCGCCCGCCACCACGCCTGACTAATTTTTTGTATTTTTAGTAGAGACGGGGTTTCACTATGTTAGCCAGGATGGTCTCGATCTCCGACCTCGTGATCTGCCCGCCTTGGCCTCCCAAAGTGCTGGGATTACAGGTGTGAGCCATCACGCCCAGCTGAGTTTTCTTTTCTTTTTTTTTTTTTTTTTGAGACAGAGTCTTGCTCTGTCCCCCAGGGTGGAATGCACTGGGGCAATCTCAGCTCACTGCAACCTCTGACTCCTGGGTTCAAGTGATTCTCATGCCTCAGCCTCCTGAGTAGCTGGGATTACAGGCATGGACCATCATGCTTGGCTAATTTTTGTATTTTTAGTAGAGATGGGGTTTTGCCACATTGGCCAGGCTGGTCTTGAACTCTGGGAGTCAAGTGATCCACCCACTTCAGACTCCAAAGTGCTAGGATTACAGGCGTGAGCCACAGTGCCCAGCCTTTTTTTTTTTTTTTTTTTTTTTTTTTGAGACAGGGTCTCACTCTGTCATCCAGGCTGGAGTGCAGTAGCGCAATCTTGGCTCACCGCAGCCCTGGAAAGATTTTCCGATGATATCATACTAATGTTCCCTGCTAGAAAGGGAGAAGAGCACTTTTCAGACTGAAAAATAAGCCTCAACCATAACAAGACTGTGCCATCTCTTCGAGGTTGTTGCTAACTGGCTCAAACCCACCCTGGAACCCATGGAGAAAAAACAATTTGAATTTAAAAGGACTTCCTTAGAAAATTAATATGTATCTAAGGAAAAACATCCAGCATATATCTCCTGCTAGACGAGACGAGGCCATGTGTCAAAAAAAGAAAATACTTATGAAGCAAAAACAGGCAGGCCTACCAACGACACAGGCCCTCATCCCTGTCCAGTAATCCTACCACATTTCTCTGGTTAACGCTGCTACTAAAGTTTTCTCCTCCAATTTCCAAATCGCTACTTCTCCCACCACTGTCACCTCTGTTTAACCTTGCCCATAACTTCACAGAAAAAACTGAAGCCCAGAGATAATTACAAGTAACTATAAAAACAGCAATTACTTTTGCACCAACCTAATAAAACAGCCTTCGCTTCCCACTCCCAAACTTCGAAATTTCATCTTCATCCTACCCACCCTCTCCTGCCCTCTTCCTACCCAAAGACAGTCCCTCCGCTGTGCTTTCAATACTATCTTCCTCCCTTCCTCTCAGAACCTTACACTGTCACTCGCTTTATCTCCCTTGAATTTCTAACCAGTCCCCACCACATGACTCTTCCCACTGACATTTATACAGCTCAAGTCTCTCCCATCTTAAAAAAATCTTGTCTTTTTTATTTTATTTATTTATTTTGAGATGGAGTTTCCTTCTGTAGCCCAGGCTGGAGTGCAGTGGTGTGATCTTGGCTCACTGCAACCTCCGCCTCCCAGGTCCTGGTTCAAGCGATTCTCCTGCCTCAGCCTCCCTCCTAGCTGGGATTACAGGCACATGCCACCATGCCCAGTTAATTTTTGTATTTTTAGTAGAGATGGGGTTTCACCATGTTGGCCAGACTGGTCTTGAATTCCTGACCTCGTTATCTGCCTGCCTTGGCCTCCCAAAGTGCTGGGATTACAGGGGTGAGCCACCAAAAAAGTCTTTTCTTGAGCCCATACTTCACTTGCCAAATCCCAGTAATCACCCAATTTCTCTCCCTCATCGTTAGAGCCCAGCATCTCGAAAAGATTTCCCATCTTCTCTCCTTCCATTTCCCTTCTCCCATTCGCTTCTTATCCCGTGCCAGTCTGGCTTCAGTGTCCACTGCTCCAGCAAAACCACTCTCACTATGGTCTTACCACCCGTGCCGCTAATCTGATCAACAATTCTCAGTCTGCGTCTTGTCCCACCTCAGGAGGCACACACGGAAATAACTCCTCCCTCGTCCCTCAAGTAGTCTTCGCTTGGCCCCCCCAGCCCGCAATCCCGGTTATCTTCTTCTTTCTGTTGGCCTGTCTCAGTCTCCTTAGTCAGTTCATCTTCCTCTACCTGACCATTAAGTGTGGTGTGCTTTAAAATCCAGTCCGTAAAAGGGCTCATTTTGATCACCTCATCCTCAGCTTCAACTGCCATCTAAACACTGAAGACTCTTCCCCCTAGTAAAAGATGCCAGGCCAGGCACGGTAGCACCTGCCTGTAATCCCAACACTTTGGGAGGCCAAGGTGGGAGGACTGCTTGAGCCCAGAAGTTCGAGACCAGCCTGGACAATATAGCAAGAACCCATCTGTACAAAAAAAAATGTTTTAATTAGCGGGGGGTGGTGGTACACGCCTGTAGTCCCAGCTATTGGTGGGTGCGGTGGGGGGTACTGATGTGAGCACCAGAGGTCAAGGCTGCAGTCAGCCATGATCACACCACTATATTCTAGCCCAGGTGACAAAATGAAACCATGTCTTAAAAAAAAAAGAACAAAAAAAGGGCTGGGCTTGGTAGCTCACACCTGTAATCCCAGCACTTTGGAAGGCCAAGGTGGGTGGATCACTTGAGGTCAGGAGTTCAAGACCAGCCTGGCCAACATGGTGAAACCCCGTCTCTACTAAAAATACAAAAATTAGCCGGGTGTGGTGATAGGCGCCTGTAATCCCAGCTACTCAGGAGGCTGAGGCAGGAAAATCATTTGAACCCGGGAGGTGGAGGTTGCAGTGAGCCGAGACCGCGCCACTGCACTCCAGCCTGGGCCACAGAGCGAGACTCCACCTCAAAAAAAAGCCAACTAAAGCCTCCACCCACTGAACCATCAAGGCTACACTGAGATGCCCGGCCACTTCCACTGATGCCGGATCAGGGGGATAGTTACTAATGGTGCTTCTACTGAATGCTCAAGGCCACAGCCATGGTATTTTCTTCCCACACCTCCAAACCTGTCTTCCAGTGTTCAGGAATCCAGGAGTCACCCTGGACATGTGTTCTACTCGATGCTAATCTATCCTCAGCATCTGCCACTCTGACACTAAATCTGTCTCAAACCTGTATCGTTCTCATCAGTTCTACTGCCACAACCCTAGTCCAAGCTACTATGAATGTTCTCCTAGATTACTTTAGCAGCCATCTACATAGAGTTTCTGCTTCCAATCTGTTCCTTTCTAATCCATTATCCACAGGCAGCCAGAGATATATTTTCTTTCTTTCTTTCTTATTTGAGATGGAGTCTCGCTCTGTCACCCAGGCTGGAGTGCAGTGGCGCGATCTCGGCTCACTGCAACCTCCATCTCCCGGGTTAGAGCAATTCTCCCACCTCAGCCTCCCAAGTAGCTGGGATTACAGGTGCCTGCCACCATGCCTGGCTAATTTTTGTATTTTTAGTAGAAACAGGGTTTCACCATGTTGGCCAGGCTGGTCTCGAACTCCCGACCTCAGGTGATCCGCCCACCTCGGCCTCCCAAACTGCTGGGATTACAGGCGTGAGCCACCACGCCTGGCCTCAGAGAGATACTTTCAATCACCACCACCACCTCCTCATCCCTGCTTAAAACCTTCCATGAGTTGCCACTACTCCAAGAATAAAAGCCAAAACCCTTAGCATGGTCTATAAGGCCATACACAACTTGGTCCCCAGTCTTCCTATCTCCCCAGCCACATCTCATCAATTCTAGCCACATGCTGGAATTCTTCAAACAGGCCATGCTCCTCTTCTCTCATGGCTTTGGCACATTAGAACACTTTCTTAACCCAATTAACTTCTATTGATCAGTTCAGAAAAGCTCTCCCTGGACTGCTGGCCCTGATCACAAACACCCACACCACCCCAGCTGAAGTCAGATTCTCCTGTTACATGTTTTCCAAGAACTATAGTCTTTACCTCCACAGCACCTACCTCAGTTTATCACTTCACATTCATTTATATAATTATTCAATTAAAGTATCTTCGCTGGGTGTGGTGGCTCACACCTGTAATCCGAGCACTCTGGGAGGCCAAGGTGGGCAGATCATGAGGTCAGGAGATCGAGATCATCCTGACTAACATGGTGAAACCCCATCTCTACGAAAAATACAAAAAATTAGCCAAGTGTGGTGGCGGGAGCCTGTAGTCCCAGCTACTTGGGAGGCTGAGGCAGTCACGCCACTGCACTCCAGCCTAGGCAACACAGCAAGACTCCATCTCAAAAAAAAAAAAAAAAAAAAAAAGTATCTTCAACTAGAACAGGAATCAGTAAATGATGGTCTATGGGTGCCTGTTTTTGCATGGCCCACAAACTAAGAATGGCTTTTACATTTTAAAGGATTGGAAAATAAACAATATACAATAGAAACTATATGTGGTTCACAAAGCATAAACATTTCCTATTTGTAAACATTTACTTCATAGAAAAAGCGCTAGACTCTGAGTACCATGAAAGCAGGGTCCATGTACATCTCACTGTCTCTCCAGAGCTTGGTACACTGCCTGCTATATGTGCTCAGAAAATGCTTGTTAAATAACTAAGTGGAGATGTTATCAAAGGATGTAAAAGTAGGGGAAAAAAATTAAAACGTTAAAAGAGCAACAAAGTATGAAAAACGCACAACCAACCTTATACTGAACAGGGAAAAGTTGAAAGCATTCCCCTTGAGAACTGGAACAAGACAAGGATGCCCACTTTCACCACTTCTATTCAACATAGTACTGGAAGTCCTAGCCAGAGCAATCAGACAAGAGAAAGAAATAAAGGGCGTCTAGGCCAGGCACAGTGGCTCACACCTGTAGTCTTAGCACTTAGGGAGGCCGAGGCAGTCAGATCACCTGAGGTCAGGAGTTTGAGACCAGCCTGGCCAACATGGCGAAACCCTATCTCTACTAAAAATACAAACATTAGCCGGGCGGGGTGGCAGGCACCTGTAATCCCGGCTACCTGGGAGGCTGAGGCAGAAGAATTGCTTGAACCCAGGAGGCGGAGGGTGCAGTGAGCCAAGTCTGTGCCACTGCACTACAGCCTGGGCAACAGAATGAGAGACTCCATCTAAAAGAAAAAAAAAAGGAAGAAAGGAAGAAATAAAGGACATCTAAATCGGTAAAGGGGAAGTCAAACTGTCGTTATTCACCAGTGATATGATCATATACCTAGAACACCCTAAAGACTCATCCAGAAAGCTCCTAGATCCAATAAATGAAGCCGGTAAAGTTTCAGGATACAAAATCAATGTATACACATCAGCAGCACTGCTAAACACCATCAGCAACTAAGCTGAGAATAAAATCAAGAACTCAACCACCTTTACAACAGCTGCAAAAAATAAAATAAAATACTTAGGAATACACCTAACCAAGGAGGTGAAAGACCTCTATAAGGAAAAACTACAAAACACTGCTGAAAGAAATCACAGACGACACAAACAAATGGAAACACATCCATGTTCATGGATAGGTACAATCAATATTGTGAAAATGGCCATACTGCCAAAAGCAATCTACAAATTCAATGCAATTCCCACCAAAATACCACCATCATTCTTCACAGAACTCGAAAAAACAATCCAAAAATTTATATGGAACCAAAAAAGATCCCATAAAGCCAAAGCAAGGCTAAGCAAAAAGAACAAATCTGGGCGCATCACATTACCTGACTTCAAAATATACTACAAGGCTACAGTTACCAAAACAGCATGATACTGATATAAAAATAGGCACATAGACCAATGGAACAGAAGGGAGAACCCAGATATAAAGCCAAATACTTACACCCAACTGATCTTCAACAAAGCAAACAAAAACAAGTGGGGAAAGGACACCCTTTTCAACAAATGGTTCTGGGATAATTGGCAAGCCACATGTAGAAGAATGAAACTGGATCACTCTCACCTTACACAAAAATCAGCTCAAGATGGATCAAGGACTTAAATCTAAGACCTGAAACCATAACAATTCTAGAAGATAACATCAGAAAAACCCTTCTAGACATTGGCTTAGGCAAAGAGTTCATGACCAAGAATCCAAAAGCAACAAAAACAAAGATAAATAGATGGGACTTAACTAAAAAGCCTCTGCACAGCAAAACAAATAATCAGTAAACAACCCACAAAGCGGGAGAAAATCTTCACAAACTATGCATCTGACAAAGAACTAACATCCAGAATTTACAAAGAATTCAAACAAATCAGCCAGAAAAAAACAAATAATCACATCAAAAAGTGAGCTAAGGACATGAACAGGCAATTCTCAAAAGAAGATATACAAATGGCCAACAAACATGAAACATCACTACCATTTGATCCAGCAATCCCACTACTGGACATCTACCAGAGGAAAAGAAGCCATTATATGAGAAAGACCCTTGCGCACAATATTTTATAGCAGCACAATTCACAATTGCAAAAATGTGGAACCAGCCTAAATACCCATCAACCAGCAAGTGGATAAAGAAAATGTGGTGTGGGCCAGGAGTGGCGGCTCATGCCTGTAATCCCAGCACTTTGGGAGGCCAAGGCAGGTGGATCACGAGGTCAGGAGTTTGAGACCAGCCTAGCCAACATGGTGAAACCCCATCTCTACTAAAATGTAAAAAATTAGCTAGGAATGGTGGCGCACGCTTGTAATCCCAGCTACTCAGGAGGCTGAGGCAAGAGAATTGCTTGAACCCGGGAGGCAGAGGTTGCAGTGAGCTGAGAGCGCGCCACTGCACTCCAGCCTGGGCGACAGAGCAAAACTCTGTCGAGAGAGAGACAGAGACAGAGAGAGAGAGAGAAAATGTGGTGTATATATACCATGGAATACTACTCAGCCATAAAAAGGAACAAAATAATGGCATTCGCAGCAACCTGGATGGCGTTGGTGACCATTAATCTAAGTGAAGTAACTCAAGAATGAAAAACCAAACATCGTATGTTCTCACTTACAACTGGGAGTTAAGCTATGAGGACGCAAAGGCATAAAAATGATATAATGAACTCTGAGGACTCGGGCGGAAATGTGGGAGATGGGTGAGGGATAAAAAACTACATATTGAGTACAACGTACACTGCTCGGGTGATGGGTGCACCAACATCTCAGAAATTACCACTAAAGAAATTATCCATGTAACCAAACACCACCTGTTCCCCAAAACTACTGAAATAAAAATATATATATAGGCTGGGCACAGTGCCTCACACCTGTAATCCCAGCACTTTGGGAGGCTGAGGCAGGCGGATCACTTGAAGTCAGGCATTTGAGACCAGCCTGGCCAACATGTTAAAACCTCGTCTCTACTAAAAATACAAAAATTAGCCAGGCGTGGTGGCAGAGGCCTGTAATCCCAGCTACTCAGGAGGCTGAGGCAGGAGAATCATTCGAACCCAAGAGGCAGAGGATGCAGTGAGCCAAGATCATGCCACTGCCCTCCAGCCTGAGTGACAAAGTGAGACTCCATCTCAAAAAAAAAGTTTCTATTTGAAGCTTATCCTCTCTGCTATCAGGGAATTGTTTCCAATTATTCTGTCCCCAGAACTACATGTCCAAGTTGAAAAGAACATGCCACATCCAAGATGGGGAATAAGATGGGGGAGGAGGAGGAAGTAGGGCAGCAGCTGAAACCTCACCTGTAACACCTGCTGAATGCTCCGAAGCCAAGACACACAGTGCTGCTGGAATAGCTCTGTGGGGCTCTCCCCTACCAGCAGGGACAGCAGACACAGGCCCTCAAACCTTCAAAGAAAGAAGAGAGTCATGTTAAGTGGGCGGAGGCTAGACTTCAGAGAAAGTGACTGCTCTTTTATTCTCACTAGGCTACAGCAAGACTTCATCCCCAGATCCACTGTGGTTTCCAACTCCTGAAATACTTGGAATGAGGTGGAAGAAGCAAAGAAAGAAGGGAGCAGAGGTAATCCCAGGGTGGAATAGGACATCTGGGAGCTGGAAAAGGTAGGGTTCAAATCAAGTGAGCTCACAAAAGGAATGTAACTCTCCACACTCTTGGGAATAGAGAGAGGTCTTGAATCCTGGGGACGGTGACAATGAAAGCAAAGATGTACATATGCCCACTTCCTAAGGGAACACGCCCCTGGAGAAAAAAAAGGGCCAAAGACTTACCGAGTTTTGATGGAACTGAGACGTGCATTACTGAGACTCACCAATGCCCCAAGAGCTGAAAGGTTCTGGAGGAAAGAAAACAGGGAAGCGAGTCACAAACGGGATGTTAAAAATGCAGAAGATTCTTCAAGCCCTTCTCTGTCCCAGCACCTATGAAGCCTTTCTGAAGTCACATCTCCTCTGAGGCCAAAAGGCCATCCCACTAGAAGCCTTGAGCTTTTCCCCTTTTTTCCTGTGGGAAAGGCTGTTTCTCGGCCTTTCCTCAAGTTATATTTTGCCTGATCCTTCCCTCCATGCCCCACCCAAGTAGTGCCAAACACAGGACAGCCCAACTAATCCCACTACCAGACTTCAAAGATGGGTCTGCTTCACCTCTATATGTCTGGGCAGCACCTAATAGGAGACATCCATAAATGCTTGCTGAATGGACACTGAACTCATCCATTATCCTTCCTTCACCCTCAAACAAATCCTCCTCCCCCTATTCCTGGCTTCCTTACAGCTGTAAAAATGCCAACACAGACCGAGTCAACAAGAATCCTCCTTCCAGTTCTCCCCTTCTCTCACATTCTGGAAGCCCACGAAAGATGTTTCCTCATCAGCCCCCCAGGTAACCTCTCCATGCCCCAAATGGCCAGCCTCCTCTCACGGCACCCGCGTCTCCCTAACGGCGTGCATCGTTCCTTCTTCCAACACATACACTATGCATGAGGTTACGTGAAGGAATACAGAGCTGAATAAAATTAATAAGGTCTCTCCCTTTTGTGGAGGGAAATATTTATTCGTTAAATAAATATTTACTTGACATGGCCGGGCGCAGTGGCTCACGCCTGTAATCCCAGCACTTTGGGAGGCCAAAGCAGGCGGATCACGAGGTCAGGAGATCGAGACCATCCTGGCTAACATGGTGAAACCCCGTCTCTACTAAAAATACAAAAAATTAGCCGGGCATGGTGGCGGGCACCTGTAGTCCCAGCTACTCGGGAGGCTGAGGCAGGAGAATGGCGTGAACCCAGGAGACGGAGTTTGCAGTGAGCCGAGATCATGCCACTGCACTCCAGCCTGGGCAACAGAGCGAGACTCTGTCTCAAAAAAAAAAAAAGAAAATATTTACTTGATATATACTTCATGTGAGACCTTATTTTAGGTGCCAGGTACTTATTTTCTAGTTAAGAGGAGACAGAAAATAAACAACTGACAAAGTAAATACATAGTATATCAGAGGGTGCTAAGAACTCCAAGGAAAAATAAAGCAGAGTAAGGAAGGAAAGGAGTGCCCAGAGTAGGCAAAGGGGACAGGATTTTATTTAGGAGAGTAGATACAAAAAGCATCTCCAAAAAGGCCATTTAGGCCGGGCGTGGTAGCTCACGCCTGTAATCCCAGCACTTTGGGATGCCGAGGCAGGTGGGTCACCTGAGGTCAGGAGTTCGAGACCAGCCTGGCCAACATGGTGAAACCCCGTCTCTACTAAAAATAGAAAAATTAGCTAGTTATGGTGACACGCGCCTGTCATCCCAGCTACTCGGGAGGCTGAGGCAGGAGACTCGCTTGAACCCAGGAGGCAGAGGTTGCAGTGAGCTGAGATCACACCATTGCACTCCAGCCTGGGCAACAAGAGCAAAACTCCATCTCAAAAAAAGAAAAAGCCATTTAGCAGAGACCTAAAGGAAAGTGAGAACAAGATGTATTGATACTCTCAAATATTTACCACAAATATAAAATGGCGCAGCCACTCTGGAAAGCAATCTGGCAGTTCCTCAAAAAGTTATACATAGAGTGAACACATGACCCAGCCATTCCACCCTACGTATATACCCAAGAGAAATGAAAACCTACATCCTCACAACAACTTGTACATGGACGTTCACAGCAGCATCATTCATAATAACCAAAATGGGAAAACAACCCAAACGTCCACCCACTGGTGAACAGATCAAATATAGTGCAGCAGCGCCCCCTTATCTGCAGGGGGTGCTTCCAAAACCCCAGGCAGGTGCCTGAAACCTCAGAAACTTCGGATACTACCAAACCCTACATAAACTGTTTTTTTCCTATACATACAAGCCTATGAAAGATTTTATCAGTTAGGCACAGTAAGAGATTAACAACCACTAATAATACAGTACAGCAACTATAATAATATGCCAGCATCTCTACTCTTACGCTTTGGGCCATTATGAAGTAAAATAAAGGTGACTTGAACACGAGCACTGCAATACCGCCACAGTGGATCTGATCACCGAGATGGTTACAAGATGACCCTCAGGCAGGGAGCATGTGCAACATGGATACACTGGACAAAAGGATGATTCATGTCCGATTCACGTCCCAGGTAGGATGAAGCAGAACTCCTCGAGAGTCCATCACGCTGCTCAGAATGGCACGTAATTTAAAACTTATGAATTACTTATTTCTGGAATTTTCCACCTAATATTTTCAGACCACGGTTGACCACAGGTAAGTAAAACCATGGAAAGGGAAAGCACAGATAAGAGGGGACTATTGCATAAAAGGCCATAAATAGGAATGAAGTTTTAGCCGGGCACAATGGCACCCGCCTGTAGTCCCAGCTACTTGGGAGGCTGAGGCATAAGAATCACTTGACTAATCCTGAGAGTTTGAATCCAGCCTAGGCAACACAAGACCCAACACAGCAAAACAGAAAAGAGTAATAAAGTCTTGACACATGGATGAACCTTGAAAACTGACTGCTAAGTGAAAGAAGCCAAACCCAAAGGCTACATATTATACAATTCATTTCTATCAAATGGCCAGAATAGGCAAATCTCTAAAGAAAAAAAGTAGATTACTGTTTGCCTAAAGCTGGAGGCAGCCAGGGAGGGCTTGGTGGGCAATGGGAATGACTGTAAGTGGGTACAGAATTTCTTTATGGAGTGATGAAAATGTTCCAAAACTGAGCACAGCAATGACCGCACAACTCTGCAAATATACTAAATCCACGGAATTGTATACTCTAAGTGAGTGAACTGTGGCCGGGCGCAGTGGCTCATGCCTATAATCCCAGTACTTTGGGAGGCCAAGGTGGGCAGACCACCTGAGGTCAGGGGTTTGAGACCAGCCTGGCCAACATGGTGAAACGCCATCTCTACCAAAAATACAAAAAAAAAAAAATCAGCCAGGCGTGGTGGCAGGCGCCTGTAATCCCAGCTACTCCAAAGGCTGAGGCAGGAGAACCGCTTGAGAACGGGAGGCGGAGGTCGCAATGAGCCAAGATCGTGACACTGCACTCCAGCCTGGGTGACAGAATGAGACTCCACCTCAAAAAAAATAAAATAAAATAAAAATAAAATGGGCCGGGCGCGGTGGCTTACGCCTGTAATGCCAGCACTTTGGGGGGCCGAGGCAGGTGGATCATGAGGTCAGGAGTTCAAGACCAGCCTGGCCAACATGGTGAAACCCCGGCTCTACTAAAAATACAAAAATTAGCCAGGCGTGGTGGTGGGCGCCTGTAATCCCAGCTACTCGGGAGGCTAAGGAAGGAGAATCGCTTGAACCTGAGAGAATCGCTTGAACCCGGGAGAATCGCTTGAACCCGGGAGAATCGCTTGAACCCAGGATGCAGAAATTGCAGTTTGCCAAGATTGCACCACTGTACTCCAGCCTGGGTGACAATGTGAGACTCCATTTCGAAAAAAATAAAAGGCCAGGCACCGTGGCTCATGCCTGTAATTCCAGCACTTTGGGCAGCCGAAGCGGGTGGATCACGAGGTCAGGAGTTTGAGACCAGCCTGGCCAACATGATGAAAACCCGTCTCTACTGAAAAATACAAAAATTAGCCGGACATGGTGGCGGGCGCCCGTAATCCCAACTACTAGGGAGGCTGAGGCAGGAGAATCGCTTGAACCCGGGAGGCAGAGGTCGCAGTGAGCCGAGATCACGCCACTGCACTCCAGCCTCGGCAACAGAGTGAGACTCCGTCTGGAAAAAATAAATAAATAAAATGGCTAAATTGTATGGTTTGTGAATTATTTCTCAATAAAGCTGTTTTGGCCAGGCACGGTGGCCTATAATCCCAAAATTCTGGGAAACCAAGGCAGGCGAATCACTTGAGGCCAGGAGTTCCATACCAGCCTGGGCAACACAGAGAGACACCATCTCTACAAAAATTTTTAAAAATTAGCCAGGTGCAATGGCATGCACCTGCAGTCCCAGCTACTCGGGAGGCTGAGGCAGAAGGATCGCTTGAATCCAGGCGTTCAAGGCTGCAGTGAGCTATGAACACACTACTATACTCCAGCCTGGGCAAAAGAGTGAGACCCTCTCTCTTAAAAAAAAAAAAAAAAAAAAAAAAAATCTGGCAGGGGGCAGTGATTCACGCCTGTAATCCCAGCACTTGGGGAGGCCAAGGTGGGCAGATCATTTGAGGTTAGGAGTTTGAGAACAGCCTTGCCAACGTGGCGAAACTAAACATCTAAAAATCTACTAAAAATACAAAAATTAGCCAGACGTGGTGGTGTGGTTTCACCATATTGGTCAGGCTGGTCTCCAACTCCTGACCTCAGGTGATCCGCCCACCTTGGCCTCCGAAAGTGCTGGGATTACAGGAGTGAACCACCATGAACCCCCGCAGTAAAGCTGTTTTTATAAAAAGGCATACTGATAACCATAAAAAAAAGAGTGTTCCAGGAAAAGAAAAAAAAAAAAAACAGGCTGGGCAAGGGGCTCATGACTGTAATCCCAACACTGGGAGGCCAAGGCAGGAGGATGGCTTGAGCCCAGGAGGTCAAGATCAGCCTGTGCAACCGAGGGAGACCCCCATTCTCCACAAAGAATTTTTAAAAATTAGCCGAACATGGTGGAGGGCACCTGTGGTCACAGCTACTTGGGAGGCTAAGGTGGGAGGGCTGCTTGACCCCGGGAGGTCAAGACTGCAGTGAGCCATGATCGCCACCACTACACTCCAGCCTGAACAGCAAAGCAACATCCTGTCTCAAAAAAGAAAAATAAAAAGAGCGAAGACTATGAGATGAGAGCATACTTCGTTATTTCCAAAGAACAACAAGGAGACAAATTGTTGATGGAGAAAAGTGAGCAAGGTGGAGAGGAGTAACCAATGATGAAGGTTAAGGGAGTGGGACCAGACTGTGCAGAGACATATAGGTGATTACCGACTTTCACCCTGAGTAAGATAAAAGCCACGAGGGGGAGAGAGAAATTGCGCACAGGAGTGACAATATCTGACTTCTGGTTTGCTTTTTGTTTTGCTTTGTTTTTAATCAACAGCATTTGTGTTGTCTTGTTGAGAAGGCAGAAGCAAACAGATGAGGTAGAAGGTTACTGTAATATTCCAGACAAATGATGATGCAGCTTGAAGAATGTGGTAACTGTGGCGATACAAAGCAGTCAAAATCAGGAAGTACTGTGAAGGTAGAGCCAACGGGATGTGCCGTCAAACTGGATATGGGTGGAAAATAAAAAGAAGGGTCCAAGATAATGCCAAGGTTTTTTGCTGAACAACTAGAAAGATGAAGCTGCCATTCACCGAGAAGGGAACTAATGCAGGAGGAGCAGGTTTTGGGGTGACAATAGGGAGCTCAGTTTCAGATCTGTTCAATCTGTGATGTGTATTTAACATGAAAACGGAGATGCCAAATAGGCACCGGCTAGACAAGTGTGAAGAGAACTTCTGGCTGGAGATGTAAACTCAAGAGGTGTGGGCCTTGAGACTGGATCAGTTCACCAAGGGAATAAGAGTAAAGAGAAGAGAAACAGTGCAAGGCCTGGGTTGTAGGCACTCAAACCTTCAGAGGTCACAGAGGTGAGGAGGGATCAGTCTTTACTGGAAAGGAGTAACCAGTGTGATAACAGGAGAATCGAGAGGAGAGGAGAGGGGCTGGGAGGGTGACTAACGCCTATAATCCCAGTACTTTAGGAGGCTAAAGTGGGAAGACTGCTTGAGCTCAAGAGTTCAAGACCAGCCTCAGCAACATAGCGAGACCTTGTTTCTACTAAAAATCAAACAGATTAGCTGGGTGTGGGGGCACACACCTGTGGTCCCAGCTACCCAGAAGGCTGAGCAGGGCGGACTGCCTCAGCCTGGAAGATCAAGGATGCAGTAAGCTATGATCGCGCCACTGCACTCCAGCCTGGGCAACACAGCGAGACCCTGTCTCAATGAAACAAACAAACAAAAACAAAAAGACAGGGGAGAGATATCCCAGAAGTCAAGTGAAGACAGTTTTTTAAATAGGAAAGTATAATTAACTGTATCAAATGGTAGCGATAAGTCAAATATGATGACCCAAATTGACCTTTGAACTTAATGTCTTGATGGACACCAGTGATCTTCAAGAGTTACCATTTCACCCAGCAAAGGGTTGTTTCGGCAGCATTTAGGCTAAAAGCCTGAATGTAATGAGTTCAACGGAACAACCATCATAGTAATAATTCATTCAGGGAAGAACCTTTAATAGATGTTAAAATGAGTGGGTGAAAGGTTGACAAGACCTAAGACATTCACATTATCTCCCCCCAAGACACTTAACTACAAATGGAAAAAAAAAAAATCATACCTTTATAACAGTGAAGAAATCTGGCAGAGACCTGCTTAACCTAGAATACGTGCTCCTGATGTGATGCACCAAGAATGACACATCATTTCTGCAAGGTTTTTTTTTTTTTTTTTTGTAGAGATAGGGTCTTGCCATGTTGCCCAAGCTAGTCTTGAACTCCTGCACTCAGTGATCCTCCCACTTCGGCCTCCCACTAAGCCTCTGAATCTCATGCTGGGATAACAGGCATGAGCCACTGCACCTGGACGACTTCTGCAGTATTCTTGCTGAAAACGCACAAATCTCCAGTTTAATTTGTCTGCTGTTTCCTCATGATTAGATCCTAACCTGAGGGGCATCCTACGAAATAACTATTCTGTACTCTTTAAAAATATCAAGATCATAAGACAAAGGCTGAAGAACTATTTCAGATTAAAGAATACTAAAGAGACATTATAACTAAAAGCAAGCTGGGCGCGGTGGCTCACGCCAGCACTTCGGGAGGACAACGCGGGTGGATGATCTGAGGTCAGGAGTTCGAGACCAGCCTGGCCAACATGGCGAAACCCCATCGCTACTAAAAAAAAAAAAAGAAAAAAAATTAGCCAGGCATGGTAGCAGGCGCTTGTAATCCCAGCTACTTGGGAGGCTGAGGCAGGAGAATCGCTTAAACCCAGGGGGCGGAGGTTCCAGTGAGCCAAGATCATGCCACGGCACTCCAGCCTAGGCAACAGACTGAGATTGTCTCAAAAAAAAAAAAACAAGGCAAAACAAACAACAACAAAAAAAACAACTAAATGCAACATGTGATCCTGCATTAAATCCTGGACTAGAAATGTTGTTGTTGTTGTTGTTGTTATAATGGATGCCTTTAGGAGAACTGATGGCAAAACTTAAAAAAGATCTGTAGGTTAAATAATTTATTGTACCAATATTAATTCTCTGATCATGATGATAGAGTATGATTATGTAAGAGAATGTCCTTGTTTTTAAGGAAATACACACTAAAATATGTCAAAGTAAAAGGACATATCTGCAACTTACTCCTAAATGGACCCAGAAAAAATATCTGAAAGAATTCCTGTATCCTCTTCACCCAGAATTCTCCAGTTTTCAAATGTGCATTTATGTTATTCTCAGAATGATAGTTTAGGAGATCTGTCATTATCAGAATAACATAAATATGCATTTAAAAACTGAAGAATCCAGCCAGGTGCGGTGGCTCAGGCCTGTAATCCCAGCACTTCGAGTGCCGAGGCGGGCGGATCACGAGGTCAGGAGATTGAGACCGTCCTGGCTAACACGGTGAAACCCCGTCTCCACTAAAAATACAAAAAAATAGCCGGGCATGGTGGTGGGCAACTGTAGTCCCAGCTACTTTGGGAGGCTGAGACAGGAGAATGACGTGAACCCGGGAGGCAGAGCTTGCAGTGAGCCAAAATCGCACCACTGCACTCCAGCCTGGGCAACAAAGCAAGACTCCATCTCAAAAAGAAAAAAAAAATGGAGAATCTAGGAGAAGGGTATATATTGAAATTCTTTCAAATATTGTTCCAACTTTTCTGTAAATTTTCAGTTATTTCAAAGTAACGCTAAAAGAAGAAGAAGGAGAGACAAAAAGTACAGATAACACTTTCAAGGAGTTTTTGCCATAAAAGGAAGTACACAAATGGCAAATGAGGCAGTAGCTAGAGGGTGATTTGTTTGTTTTTTGAGACAAAGTCTCCCTCTGTTGCCCAGGCCAGAGTTCGCAGGCGCAATCTCGGCTCACTGCAATGTCTGCCTCCCAGGCTCAAGCAATTCTCCTGCCTCAGTCTCCTGATTAGCTGGGATTACAGGCATGCGTCACCACGCCCAGCTAATTTTTGCATTTTTAGTAAAGATGAGGTTTCGCCATGTTGGTCAGGCTGGTCTCGAACTCCTGGCATCAAATGATCTACCCATCTCAGCCTCCCAAAGTGCTGGGATTACAGATGTGAGTCACTGCACCCAGCCCTAGAGGGTGATTTTTTTTTTTTTTTTTTTTTTTGAGACAGAGTTTCACTCTATCACCCAGGCTAGAGTGCAGAGGCGCGATCTCGGCTCACTGCAACCTCTGCCCCGAGTTCAAGCGATTCTCCTGCCTCAGCCTCCTGAATGGCTGGGATTACAGGATTACAGATGCCTGCCACTGCGCCTGGCTAATTTTTGTATTTTTAATACAGACGGGGTCACCATCTTGGCCAGGCTGGTCTTAAACTCCTGACCTTGTGATCCACCCACCTTGGCCTCCCAAAGTGCTGGGATTACAGGCGTGAGCCATCACGCCTGGCCGAGGATGAAGTTTTGAGCCTGTATGCTGATGAAAATGATCCAACAAAAAGAGAGGCCAGGTGCAGTGGCTCATCCCTGTAATCCCAACATTTTGGGAGGCTGAGGCAGGAAGATTTTTTTATTTAAGTAGGAGTACACTCTAAAATACGACAAAAAGTGGCCGGATGTGGTGGCTCATGCCTGTATTCTCAGCACTTTGGGAGGTCGAGTGGGGAGGATAACTTGAGGTCAGAAGTTCGAGACCAGCCTGACCAACATGGTGAAACTCCGTCTCTACTAAAAATACAAAATTAGCTGGGTATGGTGGCAGGTGCCTGTAATCCCAGCTACTCAGGAGGCTGAGGCCTACGTAGAAGACAGAACAAGACACTGTTTTTGTCCTTCAAAAGAATATACAGGATAAATGACATTTGGGATTTGCTTTAAAATGGTCCACCAAGCTGAGCACGGTGGTTCACCTCTGTAATCCCAGGATTTTGGGGGGCCAAGGCGGGAGTATCACTTGAGTTCAGGAGTTCAAGACCAGCCTGGACAACATATAAAGCCCCCATGTCTACAAAAAAAATTTTTAAATTAGCCAGGGGTGGTGGCACACCTGTAGTCCCAGCTACTCGGGAGGCTGAGGTGGAAGGATTACTTGAACCTGGGAGGTTGAGGCCAAGGCCGCAGTGAGCCATAATCTGGCCACTGCACTCCAGCCTGAGTTAGAGTAAGGCCCTATCTCAAAAAAAAAAAAAAGAAAAGAAAAGAAAAGAAAAAGAGAAAGAAAGAAAAAGCAAAGTTCCACTAAAAAAAAAAAAAAAAAAAAAAAGCCAAGCTATGGGAGGAATGAAATAACATTGGCAAACGTTCACTGTTAAATTTGAGTGATGGGGGCAGCATAGGGTGGGGTGGGGAAAATACTATTTATGTCTGAAATTTTATATAAGTTTTATTAATTACATACAAGAACAAATCAAAGACTTGCTGAATGTAGGGGAGAGAGGTTATAAGTATATGTGAAATAAATAAACAGACAGTAGGATAAAGAGCAGTCAATCATAGGTGGCCAAGAAATATATCCCAAAGGCAGTGACAAATAAGCAAAGAATTGAGAAGACTGGGAAGGAGGATGAGAGTTGGGGGGGTGGGGGCACTGCACAGGGAGGGATTCCAAGAGAAGAGTAAGTACAAAGCCTCTGAGGAAAGAACACCCAGAGGCTGAAGGATTTTTAAAAGCTGCAAACAGGATCAGAATTTTACTTTAGAAAGCTCACTCCAGCTACTGTGTGGGGAACGGATTACAGAGGGCAAGACTGAAGGTAAGGAGACCCGTTAGAAGATTGTTGCTATAATATACTCCAAGCTAGATATGGAGCACTGTGCTAGGATCATTCCATTTTGGAACTACTGAGCTTGCAGTACCTGCGGAAAAGCCATGTTGGTAGGTGGATGATCAAACAGTGGATCCCCCTTGCTCGCAAGCTCCAGGTCTATTGCTGACTTTCATTTCTCATCTTAACTAGACTAGAAATTCTCTGAGGGAAAGGACCATGTCTTATTTATCTACCTAGAGACGAGGAACAGTACGTAAAACATAACAGATACTCAATAAATGTTTGTTGAATGAAACCTTTGGGGAAGGAAAGGAAATCCTCCACATAATCCCAATTCAAAGGACACAAGTAGAAAAAAAATTCAAGGCAGGATGTATCTAAACAAGTAGCACAGGAAATATTAAAGGGCGGCCCTAGTTTCCCACATCACTCTTAGCTTCTTTACTCAAAATTCTACTAGACTTCAGACATGTAAGAAAAATAAGCAAGACGTTAAGTTCATGTAGTTGACTTTGAGGGAGGAGAGGAAGTCCTGAAAGAGATGATGAAAGAAATCACACATTTATAGGCGGGATAGGTAATATTTCACAAATACTTATAAAAAAAATTTCTGGGGGGCAAGGCATGGTGGCCCGTGCCTGTAATTCCAGCACTTTGGGAAGCCAAGGCAAGTGAATCGCCTGAACTCGGGACTTTGAGACCAGCCTGGGCAACATGGCAAAACCCCGTCTCTACCAAAAATACAAAAATTAGCCGGGCATGGTGGCGCATGCCTGTGGTCCCAGCTACTCTGGAGGCTGAGGTGGGAGGATCCCTTGAGGCTGGGAAATGGAGGTTGCAGTGAGCCAAGATCATGCCACTGCACTCCAACCTGGGTGACAGAGTAAGACCTTGTCTCAAAAATAATAATAATTCTGGGACTATTGTGAGATAAAGAAAACAGAAAAACCCCACTGTAATATAACTGACTGATGAAAACCACATAAATTAGAAGAGGGGAATTTAGAGACAAGAGAAAATACATAATCAGCTCCAGCCTCTGATATTGGGCTGAGATAGCAGAGATATAGTTTTGTCACCCTCAATTATGCAGAGTAATGTTAAAGACAAACAGATAGGGTTATCTGTGATAAATCTGGGGCTAAGGTTATTGACCCACCCAGCAAATTGTGACAACCATCTTCCTGGAAGGTAGCATAGAGCTAGGAAGGTCCCAGGAATGAAGGGTGGACACAGAAGATCTCGTGTTTATGGGTCTTGAAGGATGGGTAGAATTTGGGGGAGGTTTAGTGGGAGAGAAGGGAAGATAGGAGATTGTTATAAGGAGCAGCTATTATGGGCTAGAAATATGCCTTCTTAGAATCAGTGCCTTCACCCGGACAAGATGGTGGGGGTTCAAGCTAGAATGGGAGCAATGAGAAAGATGGAAAAGAGTGGACAGATCTGAAAACTACTCAAAGGATAAAATCAACAGGACTTGACAGATTGCTTATGGAGGTGTATGAAGAAGAGTTTAGAATTACTTGAGTGTCTAGCTTGCAGAACTGAATGGTTATCAGATTCCATTCTTATAGAAGTCCAAAGGCTCCTAACCCGGCCTAAAACGCTCTGCATGACCCGACCACTGCCTACCCATCTCACCAGTCTCATCTGTACCCACTCTCTTCCCCTCCACATCTGAGCCCCAGGAACGATGCCCTTCTTTCCAGTTCCTTCCTACCACAGGGTCTTCCCACATGAGCTCTCCTCTGACTGAACAGCCCCTCCCATATTTTTTCCCTACCCAACCCCTATTCATCCTTAGGGTCTCAGCTTAAACGCCGGTTTCTTTGGAAAAATCTCTGCCAGTCTTCAGATAAGGTTAGAGACCCCTGATATTCAATTCTCATCTTGTTTCGCAGCATTTTGTGTATCGCCACCACGTCTGTAACCGGAGCGCCTAGTACAGTATCTGACCCTCAATAAGAGCTCGGTAAATGTTTATTGTTGAATGCGTCATTCAGTCAGTCGAAACAATCCCCGAAACAGATATTGCCAGAGGAAAAAGAGACTTTTAGATTATACAACTAGTGAGTGACCGGGCCTGGAACCTAATCGATTCCTGTGTGCCGACCAATAGCCTAACAACAGAAAAATAAGGCCCATTTTTCCCCTGGAGAAACTCATGGCCGATAAAGGAGAAATACGTGCATCCCGTCCGGACTGATACCTGGATCCCCTTTCTGCCCGCAGCTCTCCTTCCTTCAACCTCCCTATCGCACTTGCACTGCACCGTAATCCCGGCGCACAGGTGCCGCGCCATCCTCCCCACAGGGCCGCGGGCACGCGGGCCACGGACTCACCTGGGCCCCGCCCACCGACCCATGCAGCCGCAATAGGCACATGAGCCCGGGCAAATGTGGGGCCGAGCGGTTTGGGGGATGCACCGGAGCAACGGCAGACCCCGTTCGAGGTTGCAGCAAACCAGAAACACTCTCCAGCAGCAGCAGGCGGAGCCGCGGGCCCGAGCTCACTGCCGAGAGACCCCCGGTCCCGCCAGGAACCCCAGCCGCGGAGCCCGCAGAGGGCCCACTCAGAACGGCTGCCGCCATCTTCCCCCGGGTTCCAGTGGTGGCGTGGCGCGATGACGCAAACACACCGCGACGGCCGCCTACTGGGGAGGGGGCGTGGGGAGGGGGCTGCGGTCTTGCGCACTGAGTGAAGGCAGGCTGGACTCGCGGGCTCAAGCTGGGAAGGAGCATGCGCGGAGAGAGCAGCCTGGGCGCCGAGGCAGCGGGGTGCTCGGTTCCCGGAGTGATGGCGGATGAGGCTGCCTGTGAGCGTGTCCGAGGCGGTCCTGTGATGTTAAAGGTACACGTGGTCCGGACAAAAGGCGCCAAAGTCGGAACGATTTCCATTTAGCGGACGGAGTCTTGGGACATCTTCGCTGTAGGAATCAATAACTCTCATTTTTTTTTTTTGAGACGGAGTCTCGCTCTGTGGCCCAGGCTGGAGTGCAGTGGCGCGATCTCGGCTCACCGCAACCTCCACCTTCCAGGTTCAAGCGATTTCCCTGCCTCAGCCTCCCGAGTAGATGGGATTACAGTCGCGCGCCACCACGCCCGGCTAATTTTTTTTGTATTTTTGTAGAGATGGGGTTTCACCATGTTGGCCAGGATGGTCTTGAACTCCTGACCTCAGGTGTTCCGCCCGCCTTGGCCTCCCAAAGTGCTGAGATTACAGGCATGAGCCACCGCACCCTGCCTAGGAATCAGTAACGTGTGTGTGTGTGTACGCGCGCCAAAGATTTATTTCTTCATTTCTTGCATTTCAAGTACTCTTCGATGTCATCCTTGGCCTGAGACTCCTTGCCATAGTCCTTAACTACTACACAACTGCAACCAACCACTTTACGGGGTTTCCCCTCTCTGTCGATTTTTACAGAGCCCTACCCATTCTCCTAGTTTCTTGTTGTCATCAACCTTAATTAGGTTGATTTGGTGTTCAGCACAAAGGCCTCCACCAACTTGACATACATAGTAGGCTCATCATAGTTGGATGCAAGCACACAAAGATGGGCTTGGCGTTTGTCTAAGGCTTTGGCAGCTTCGCGAATTCCACGTGCTAGGTCATGGTGGATGAGAGCGGTCTTCAGCACCTCTTGTGAAGCAGTATTAACATCCATTACCCCTCCAGCAGCAATGCCTTCCTCGGCCGTGGCGGTGGGTTACAAGTGAAGCTGAATCTTGAAGGTACCCAAGCCTCCGCCTCCGCGCAACTCGGCAGCGGCAGGGAAAGAGAAGGAATCAATAACTCTCTAGGTAACTTGAAATCACAGACATTTTTAACTACATTTGCAACTTCAGAAATGATACAAGACGTGCGCCTTGCAAAAGCCAATTCAAACAGTACAGAAAGGCATAAAGTAAAAAGAAAAACTGCTCCTCCCCCGCAAAGCCCTGCCCCAGTAGCGTGTATACTTTCCTAATATTAGTCTATGCACAAGCACATAAATGAATATTTTACAAGATTGGGGTCTGCGTGTGGCTTGTTTTCACTCATGGCCTTCTTTATGCTGTTTTTTAAACTGTGGTATGAATGAAATGGGTGCACCATGATTTAATAATTCTATTGCTGAATTAATGCTTAAAGGCTGCTCCAGCTTTTTGCTAATGCAAACTGTAGTGAACACGCTAATACCTCTATGTTTATGTTTGTGTACTTTTGTGATTGTTAGATTCAAATCCAAGAGTCATCATTTTTCTTTTTTTGAGGAGTCTCTCTGTCGCCCAGGCTAGAGTGCAATGGCACGATCTCGGCTCACTGCAACCTCCGCCTCCCAAGTTCAAGTGATTCTCCTACCTCAGCCTCCCAAGTAGCTGGAAGTACAGGCACCCACCACCATGCCCAGCTAATTTTTGTATTTTTAGTAGAGACGGGGCTTCACCATGTTGGCCAGGCTGGTCTCAAACTCCTGACCTCAAGTGATCTGCCGGCCTCAGCCTCCCAAAGTCCTGGGATTACAGGTGTGAGCCACCCCACCTGGCCCGTTTTTCCTCTTATTGCCTCCTATCCAATCCTTCAAGTCCTGGCATTCAAGGCCTCCAAAATACATTAACCCAATAGCGTTAATTTTTCTCCATCTCCACTGCCGCTCCGGTCCAAATTACCATTCACTCTCACCTAGTCTATTACAAAGCCTTCGTTGCTCTCTGCTTCCCTCTTAGCACCCTGTAGTCCCTTCACACAGCAACCAAAGTGGTCTTTTCAAATGTAAACAAGTTGTTGTCACTCCTAGCTTCAACCCCTCTGTGGCTTCCAAATGTGATGAGAATGAAATCCCATCTCGTCACTGAGGCCTAAAAGAATCCACCCAATCTGACTCATACCCACCTCCCTGACCTCAACACATACCACAAGTACCCTTTTCCTTCTCTCTTCCTATTCTTGAGCCACGCTAGCCTTCTATTTTCCAGCAAAGCCCATTCTCACATCCGAACCTTTGCACATGTTGCTGATTATGCTGGAGAAACTGTCCTTTGATTCTATGTAACTAACGCCATTTTGCCATCCTGAGACGACTTCTTTTTCGGTAGCTCCCACTCCAACCCCCATCAGCCTCCATCACATTTGCCTGTTTATAATTCATGTCATTACCAGAAATTTGCTTTCTTATTAACTATCTCTTGTCTAAAATACAAACTCCATGAAAGGGCTCCTGTCTCCTACACTATGCTATTCCTATCACCTAGAACAGTGCCTGGTACATAAAAGGTGCTGAAAAAATATTTCCCCAGGCTGGAGTGCAGTGGCATGATCACAGCTCACTGCAGCCTTGACCTCCCAGCTCAAACGATCCTCCCACCTCAGCCTCCCTAGTACATGAGACTCTAGGCACTAGCCACTATATTTGGCTCATTTTTCGTTTTTCGGAGGTTTTTTGTTTTCTTTTTTCCTCGAGATGGAGTTTCGCACTGTCACCCAGGCTGGAGTGCAGTGGCGCGATCTTGGCTCACTGCAAGCTCTGCCTCCCAGGTTCAGGCCATTCTCCTGCCTCAGCCTCCCAAGTAGCTGGGACTACAGGCGCCTGCCACCATGCCGGCTAATTTTTTGTACTTTTTTGTGGAGACAGGGTTTCACCACGTTAGCCAGGATGGTCTTGATCTCCTGACCTCGTGATCCGCCCACCTCAGCCTCCCAAAGTGCTGGGATTACAGGCGTGAGCCACCACGCGCGGCCCGTTTGTTTTTGAGACGAAGTTTCACTATTCTCACTCAGGCTGGAGTATAACGGCACGATCTCAGCTCACTGCAACCTCCGTCTCCCAGGTTCAAGTGATTCTTCTGGCTCAGCCTCACGAGTAGCTGGGATTATAGGCTAAATTTCACGATGTTAGCCAGACTGGTCTCGAACTCCTGACCTCAGGTGATCCACCCCCCTCGGCCTCCCAAAGTACTGGGATTACAGGCGTGAGCCACTGCACCCAACCCCCTCTGCTTTAAAAACCAGTACTGGTTCCACATGTCCTTCTGTGGGGCCCTCCATCTCACTCCATCTGCTATACAAAATCCTCCACAGCCTGTTCCAGACTTCCCCACCAACACTACGCAACAGGACGTGCCTTGTCTCTCTCTTTGAAATGCCCTTTCTCAACTTCTGCCCAGCCAGGCGCGGTGGCTCACACCTGCAATTCCAGCACTTTGGGAGGCTGAGGCAGGTGGAACACAAGGTCAGGCGTTCGAGACCAGCTTGGCCAACATGGTGAAACCCCGTCTCTATTAAAAATACAAAAAGTAGCCAGGCATTGCAGGTGTCTGTAATACCAGATACTCACGAGGCTGAGGCACAGAATTGCTTGAACCCAAGAGGCAGGGGTTTTGTTGAGCCGAGATCCCACCACTGCACTCCAGTCAGGGTGACAGAGTGAGACTCCATCTCCTAAAAAAGAAAAAAAAAAAGAGGCTGGGCGCAGTGGCTCACATCTATAATTCCAGCACTTTGGAAGGCGCAAGCAGGCGGATCATTTGAGGTCAGGAGTTCAAGAGCAACCCGGCCAACATATTGAAACCCCATCTCTACTAAAATATATATATATAAACTAGCGAGGCGTGGTAGTGGACACCTGTAATCCCAGCTACCCGGGAGACTGAGGCAGAACAGCTGGAACCCAGGAGATGGAAGTTGCAGTGAGCCGACACAACACCAGTGTCCAGAATTTGTAGGGGGTCTCACTGACTTTAAGAATGAAGCCATGGACCCTCACAGCAAGTGTTACAGTTCTTAAAGGCAGCATATCCGGAGTTTGTTCCTTCTGACGTTCGGATGTGTTCAGAGTTTCTTCCTTCTGGTGGGTTCGTGGTCTCGCTAGCTCAAGAGTGAAGCTGCAGGCCTTTGCGGTGTTACCCCCCTTAAGGCCGTGTCTCCGAAGTTATTCATTCTTCTTAGTGGGTTCGTGGTTTCACTGGCTTCAGGAGTGAACCTGCAGACCTTCCCAGCGAGTACTACAGCTCATAAAGGCAGTGTAGACCCAAAAAAGGAGCAGCAGCAAGATTTAACCGCAAAAAACAAAAGAACAAAAGGTCTACCTAACAGAAGAGTACCCCAGTGCATTGCAATTGCCGGTTCAGGCAGCCTGCTTTTATTCTCTAATCGGCCCCACCCACATCCTGCTGATTGGTTCATTTTACAGAGAGCCGATTGGTCCATTTTACAGAGAGCTGATTGGTCTGTTTTGGCAGGGTGCTGATTGGTGCATTTACAATCCGTGAGCTAGACACAAAAGTTCTCCACGTCCCCACTAGATTAGCTAGATACAGAGTGTAGACACAAAGGTTCTCCAAGTCCCCACCAGAGTAGCTAGATACAGAGTGTGGATTGGTGCATTCACAAACCCTGAGCTAGACACAGGGTGCTGATTGGTGTGTTTACAAACCTTGAGCTAGATACAGAGTGCCGATTGGTGTATTTACAATCCCTTAGCTAGACATAAAGGTTCTCCAAGTCCCCACCAGACTCAGGAGCCCATTTGGCTTCACCCAGTGGATCCCGCTTGGGGGCCGCAGGTGGAGCTGCCTGCCAGTCCGCATGTGCTTGCACTCCTCAGCCCTTGGGTGGTCGATGGGACTGGGTGCCTTGGAGCAGGGGGCGGTGCTCGTCGGAGAGGCTCGGGCCGCACAGGAGCCCACGGAGGGGGAGGGGAGGCTCAGGCATGGCGGGCTGCAGGTCCCGAGCCCTGCCCCGAGGGAAGGCAGCTAAGGCCCAGCGAAAAATTGAGCACAGCAGCTGCTGGCCCAGGTGCTAAGCCCCTCACTGCCCGGGGCTGGCCGGCCACTCCGAGTGCGGAGCCGCCGAGCCCACGCCCACCCGGAACTCGCGCTGGCCCGCAAGCACCGCGCGCAGCCCGGGTTCCCGCCCGCGCCTCTCCCTCCACACCTCCCCGCAAGCTGAGGGAACCGGCTCCGGCCTTGGACAGCCCAGAAAGGAACTCCCACAGTGCAGTGGCGGGCTGAAGGGCTCCTCAAGCGCGGCCAGAGTGGGTTCCAAGGCCGAGGAGGCGCCGAGAGTGAGTGAGAGCTGCCAGCACGCTGTCACCTCTCACCACTGCACTCCAGCCTCGGCGACAGAGTGAGACTCTGTCTCAAAAAAAAAAAAAAAAACAAGAAAAAGAAAAAAAACTTCTGCGCATCCTTCAGAAAGACTGTCCTCATCTGTTCCCCGCTCTGGACAGCCTGCACTCCCTCCACCCCCGCCCGGGCCAATTGCTGTTAGCGGCTGTGTCTTCTGACTCAGACCTCTGTAATAGCATTCCTGGGTAATACCTGTGTATGTGTCTCCTCAACTATTCTAGGAAGGCAGGGGCCATGGTAATTCGTATGTGTCCCCATCGATTGGCATAGTGAATAGCATAACATAGGCACGGATGGATGGGTCCATAGATGGACCGATGGATGGGAGCGGGTGAGTGAGTGGATGTTAGCTGGGATGGGTGGGTGAAGGAGATGGATAGTCAGAGACATTGGAAAAGGGAACCCTGCGAAGATCAAATGCAAACACCAGGAGGAGCTGACACGCTGCAGTGAAGAAGCGGGAGGGCTGGCCACAGAAGGCGGCACGCTCCGAGTGGAGCAGGTGAGCGGCGCGCACTGAAGCAAGCATCACGCAATTGAACCGCTCACCCACGTGTTCCCCCCCACCATCCTCCTTCCCAGACGGCGCTTCAGCTCATTCCACCGCCCCCAGCAGCCCGGTCGCCCCCACCGCCACTGAGAAAGCAAACAAAGGGGAGGAGACCCCTGCAGGTTCTGGATGCCGAAGGCCAATCGAAAGACTTAGATCCCCTGGAAGGCGGGCGCCTTGGTTTAGGGGGGTCCAATCGGTTTCAAGGGGTTGCAGCGGGGCGGGGAGATGGGCGGGAGGAGTGGGAGCTGGCCCCGCGCGCGGGGGAGGGCTACCAGGCTGGGAAGGAGCGCGAAGGGCTGGGGGCGGAGCCAATGGCCCCGCGTGTCTGCTAGGAGAGGGCGGGCAGCGCCGCGGCGCGCGCGATCCGGCTGACGCATCTGGCCCCGGTTCCCCAAGACCAGAGCGGGGCCGGGAGGGAGGGGGAAGAGGCGAGAGCGCGGAGGGCGCGCGTGCGCATTGGCGCGGGGAGGAGCAGGGATCTTGGCAGCGGGCGAGGAGGCTGCGAGCGAGCCGCGAACCGAGCGGGCGGCGGGCGCGCGCACCATGGGGGAGAAACCCGGGACCAGGTAAGGGAGGTGGGGCCACGCGGCGGGGCATGGGCGGCGGCTCGGGGCGGGGGCTGGGACGGTCCCAGACGAGGGCGCAGCGGAGAGGATCTGGGGGCCGGACGCCTGGGTCCCTAGGGACAGCCATCCGGGGCCGCACGCGCAGGTCCTCGAGGATAATGAGGGTGGGGGGGAAATGCCCGGGCCCCTGCAGAAAGCGAGGCCTGAGGGGGATCAGAAAAACCGGTGTCGGGGTTCTCGCAGGGATGTGGGGCCAGACTACTGGGCTCTCCCGTGCAGGCTGCGATGCAGGGATGGAGGAAGGAGGAGCAGGTGGCTGGCCCCGAGGGGTCGTGTACGGGGAGGCTGGATGCCGGGACGGGGGGGATCCACTCCAGACTCGCGCCAAGCCAATGGAAAGCCTCCTATCCAATATCCCCCAGGTAGTCGCGCTGCCCACACCTGTCCCGAGGGCCGGGTGGCTCCTCACCCAAACTTCTACCTTCCCTTGGGTTGCCAGGAGCAACAGCTTCATCTTGGGGGAGCCGAGTGCGTGGCGACCCTCCCTGAAACTAGATCGTATCCCTCTCTCTGGGGGTGGGGGAGGCAGTATTCACCCTGGGCGCGCGTCCACTCCCCGGATGTTTTCTGTGCAATCGAGGCTCTTTCCTTCCACTGATACCCCGAGTTCTCTTTTTTGGTCTCTAGCAAAATCCACTTCCTGTTGTGACTCAACACCCCCAAGGGGCAAGGGGTGGATGCCTGAGTCGCAGGGGAGCGGGAGCAAAAGACGAAAAGGTTGGGGCTGTAGGCCTCAACTCAGAGGGTATCAGGAATAGGGAATTGGTCCTGAGCTCTGGCTTGCTCTGCAAAACATCATATCAACCCCACTTCCAACCTATAGAGTATGAGAACCCGGGTTTCTGAGCATCAAGTAGACGAGCATCAGAAAGAGATCATCAGAGAGATGATCCGTCTCCTGGATCAGGGTTTAAACATCCCAGAGAAAGGGGAAGTTGCTGACTTGTGGGAGGCCCCTGATTTCCGTCATGTGGTTCAGGGAGTGGGACGGATGGACCAAAGGAGACTGCTAACTTGGCACAATTTCCCTCACCCCCATGAAATTCTGGGCCACAGGAAATGGAGCGAATAGCAGGAAGTGTGAAAGGACATCTGCTTCAGCTACCCCTGCTCCCACTGGGCACCTCCCTGGTCATCCCCACACTCTGCCTCCTTGGCCAGCCTAGTATATGCACGCTGCTCCTCCCCAGCCTGGCAGGAGGTGGCTGGGTTAGGATCCAAAGGGCAAGTGCCTTGCAGCTGCTCCAGGGCAATTGCCCCAGAACCACACTCCAGTTGGCCCACTGATTGTGGCTGTCACAGCCCTGTGCCAGGGCTCCTAATGGGAGGACACCCTGGGACAAAGAGGAAAACCAGAAGCAAAGGGGAGGGAGAGCCTGGATGATGCCACGGCACTCAGCTCCCAAGTTGGGATGAAAGATAGGGTGTTTATTCTAGCGGCTACCATATCGATGTGTATTCTCTTTTATTGGTTAGGAATACCTGGGGCCCTCCATACCCTTTGCCTTACAACCTTTGGACAGCTTGGCTTTCTGGGAAGAAGGGGCAAGTGAAGTTGTAGCAGAAACTGGGCCTATGGTAGAAACCATGTAGGGCCAAAGGCCAGGGTCATTGCTCTCCTATATGCTCCAGCTGTCAGAGCTGGAGACCAGATGGAAAGATGGTTAGGTCTTACCCAGACACTGTGGTAACCTGCCCATTGGGGTCCTCTGGGAATGGGGTGGTAGACTTGGAAGAGGGATGGGCTAGTTGGCAGGATTTCACGTTTCTGCTATCTATCTGAGGATCCTTTCCAGGGATCACTGCTGAGGCAGAGTGGATTGGAAGGAGTAAGGTGGTGCTTCAAAGAACAGGCCCACAATTGGCCAGATCACTGGGGTTGCCAAACACTTCCTTACCCTCCCAGCAATGGGTGGAGTCCAGGCTTAAATTGTTTCAGCAACTGGAAAGCAAATAACCTTCAATTCAACAAACTATTTATGCCAACTGCAGAGACAGATAGTGTAATATTGATCGAGAGGATGGACTCGGAGCCAGACTGCCTTGGTTTCTATTAATTCCCACCATTTACTCCCTCTGTGACCTTGAAACACTTGACCTCTCTCTGCCTCAGTTTCCTCACCTGTAAAACAGAGATATTAGGAGCTCCATCACTGGGTGGTTTTATTTAATTTAATTAATTTATTTATTTATTTATTTTTTGAGACAAAGTCTTGCTCTGTCACCCAGGCTGGAGTGCAGTGGCTCAATCTCAGCTCACTGCAACCTAAGGCCGGGCACGGTGGCTCACGCCTGTAATCCCAGCACTTTGGGAGGCTGAGGCGGGTGGATCACCTGAGGTCAGAAGTTGGAGATCAGCCTGGCTAACATGGGGAAACCTCGTCTCTACTAAAAAAATACAAAATACAGGCCAGACACAGTGACTCAAGCCTGTAATCCCAGCCTTCTGGGAGGCTGAGGCGGGCGGATCACTAGAGGTCAGGAGTTTGAGATCAGCCTGGCCAACATGGGGAAACCCCATCTATACTAAAAATATAAAAATTAGCGGCCGGGCGTGGTGGCTCACGCCTGTAATCCCAGCACTTTGGGAGGCTGAGACAGGTGGATCACGAGGTCGGGAGATTGAGACCATCCTGACTAACACAGTGAAACCCCATCTCTACTAAAAATACCAAAATTCGCCGGGCGTGGTGGTGGGTGCCTGTAGTCCCAGCTACTCGGGAGGCTGAGGCAGGAGAATGGCGTGAACCCGGGAGGCAGAGGTCGCAGTGAGCCGAGATCGCACCACTGCACTCCAGCCTGGGCGACAGAGTGAGACTCCGTTTCAAAAAAAAAATTAGCCAGGCATGATGGCAGGCACCTCTAATCCCAGCTACTCAGGAAGCTGAGGCATGAGAATCGCTTGAACCCAGGAGGTGGAGGTTGCAGTGAGCTGACAGCGTGCCACTCTACTCCAGCCTTGGTGATAGAGTGAGACTCCATCTCCAAAAAAAAAAAAAAAATACAAAACATAGCCGGGCATGGTGGCTCACTCCTGTAATCCCAGCTACTCAGGAGGCTGAAGCAGGAGAATCACTTAAACCTGGGAGGCGGAGGTTGCAGTGAGCTGAGATCGCACCACTGCACTCCAGCCTGGGCAACAGAGTGAGACTCTGTCTCAAAAAACAGAGTATTACAAGAGATGACACATTTGAAACACTTGGAACAGTGCTGGGCATGGAGTAGTCACTCTGAAATGTTAGCAGCATTACCATCTTCATGATATGGCTGGCATTGTGCTGGAGATGCCTAAATTAATAAGGCCTCTGAGGCTCACAGTCTGAGGAGGGAGGGAGCTAACTATCCTTGTGTGCTACCACACCACAAGTAAAACATAAACAAGGTGTGACAGGAACCCAAAACAAGGAGCGACCAGGGTCTGGGCTGGGTCAGCTTCCTAAAGGCTGGGCCTTAAAAGACAAATAGGCTTTTAAGCTCTTGAGGTCGGAGTTGGGGACAGTTGGAGGTGAGTAGAGTCGAACTTGGGTAGGGCCTGTGGTAGAAACTATCTGAGGGCCAAAGGCCAGGGTCATTGCTCTCCTATATGCTCCAGCTGTCAGAGCTGTAGACCAGATGGAAAGATGGTTAGGTCTTATCCAGACACTGTGGCTACCTGCCCATTCGGGTCCTCTGGGAAGAGCCTGGGTGGTTCCTAGGGCAACCAGTGGCCATTACTGGGGAGGGAAGGGGACGAATGAGGGTGGACAAGACAAGGGGCATTTCCCCTTGCCACCACGTTAGAAATAGGAAGGACCTTCCGGGAAGAAGGGTTCCCCTTGCCACCACGTTAGAAATAGGAAGGACCTTCCGGGAAGAAGGGTTCCCCTTGCCACCACGTTAGAAATAGGAAGGACCTTCCGGGAAGAAGGGTTCCCCTTGCCACCACGTTAGAAATAGGAAGGACCTTCCGGGAAGAAGGGTTCCCCTTGCCACCACGTTAGAAATAGGAAGGACCTTCCGGGAAGAAGGGTTCCCCTTGCCACCACGTTAGAAATAGGAAGGACCTTCCGGGAAGAAGGGGAAAGGGGCAGAGCTGGGCAAAGCCCCACAGCCTCAGGCAGGAGGCCTGGGTGAGCACTGCTTCTCAGGCCTGGGAGGGAGAGGGTCCTGGTGTGGGGTCCCTGCTGAGTCTGAGGGAGGCAGTGGGGTTTCCCTTTCTGTTTTGTTAGGGTCTTCAAGAAGTCGAGCCCTAACTGCAAGGTGAGTCTCCACAGCACTTACCCTTTTGACCCTCCCTGGGCCCCAACAAAGCCCAGCCTTCCCCTAGACGATCCCCAACCTACCCAAAGATGATCCCCAACCCCTAGCTCCCCACTTCCTGTGACAGCTAAGCGCCGACTTCCTTCCCTCCTGAAGCCCCTTGCCGCAGAGGCTGCTCAGCCTGAGCCAGCCACAGGGCTGGGTGGGGCAGGCTTGGGTCCCCAAGCAAGACCACAGAGGAGGAGGCCAAAAGCAAGCCATGTGCCTGTAGCCCTCCTAGGAGCCAACCCAAGGTGCGTGGGGCTGGGAAAACCTAACAGCCCCCGGGCTATGGCCTATTTATCCTAGAGCCCCTTGAGGGGACCTAGTGAGGGTGGCAGCTGCTCTCTAGCTGGCTGGTTGGGCTGAGTTCTCCCCGAGGATCCAAACACACACACACACAGACACACACACACATACACACATACACACACACCTGGCTGGTTGGGCTGAGTCCTCCCTGAGGATGCAAACACACACACACGGACACACACACACACACACGGACACACACAAACACACCTCGCTGGTTGGGCTGAGTCCTCCCTGAGGACACACACAGACACACATGCACATACATGTTCACACACACACCTGACTGGTTGGCTGAGGACACACACACACACACACACACACACACACAAACACACACACACCGGGCTGGTGGGCAGAGGTGTGCAGAGATAAAGGAGCAGCTCAAAAGCCTAAAGGTCCACTAGTCTGAGAAACGCCACCACCCTCACTTTCCAACACTATTGGGAGGAAACCTGGAACAACTCCTTCCTGATAGCCCAGCCTGGAGATCCCCGGGCAGGGCAGCCAGTTTTGAGGGCTCCGATGCCCTGTCACCATCCTCCCCAATCTCCCCTGTGACCCCTTGACATCCTCAGCTCACCGTGTACTTGGGCAAGCGGGACTTCGTAGATCACCTGGACAAAGTGGACCCTGTAGGTAAGTTTTCCCAGAAAGGGACAGCTCGTTCCCCAAGAGGGGAAGAAGTTCCCGGGCCCAGGAAAGCGGGGAGCGGCCCTTTCAGGAAGTGAGCTGGTGTGTCCCCCTCCTAGATGGCGTGGTGCTTGTGGACCCTGACTACCTGAAGGACCGCAAAGGTACTGGCCCCAAGTCCAGGGGGCCCAGGGAAAGTGGGGGCTAGGGAAGTGAAATGGGCTGGCCTTGGAAGGGCGCCCCAGAGAGATGGAGGCTGGAGGTGGAAGCCAGGAGTAGGGTTCAGGCAAGTCTTATGCTGCTGAGGGAGGAGCAGCGGCTGCTAGGTGCCAGGGGACTGGGGAAGTGGGGCTCCTGACCACTCATCTCACCCTCCCTTGCCAGTGTTTGTGACCCTCACCTGCGCCTTCCGCTATGGCCGTGAAGACCTGGATGTGCTGGGCTTGTCCTTCCGCAAAGACCTGTTCATCGCCACCTACCAGGCCTTCCCCCCGGTGCCCAACCCACCCCGGCCCCCCACCCGCCTGCAGGACCGGCTGCTGAGGAAGCTGGGCCAGCATGCCCACCCCTTCTTCTTCACCGTGAGGATGCCCCTGCCCTCTGAGGGCCAGGGGGCTGGGGCTGGGACTGTGTCTGGGGTGGGGGTAAGGCACTGCTGTGGGCAGATCTGGAAGAAACAGTGAGGCAGGGACCCTAGATCCACTTCCCTTCAGGGTCCCAGTGCATTCAGGAAGCCCTTGATTATCTGCCTCCTCTCTGGGGCCCCTTCCTTCTTCCCTTCTCATCCCCAGGAGTCCTTTCTCCAGCCTCTTTTTTGTTGTTGTTGAGACAAAGTCTCGCTCTGTCGCCCAGGCTGGAGTGCAGTGGCACAATCTTGGTTCACTGCAACCTCCGCCTCCCAGGTTCAAGTGATTCTTATGCCTCAGCCTCCCGAGTAGCTGGGATTACAGGCACGCACCACCACACACGACTAATTTTGTATTTTTAGTAGTGATGGGGTTTTGCCACGTTGGTCAGGCTGGTCTGGAACCCCTGACCTCAGGTGATCCGCCCACCTTAGCCTTCCAAAGTGTTGGGATTACAGGCATGAGCCACCACACCCAGCGTCTCCAGCCTCTTAGGTTGAGATTTGGAGGAAGATCTGGGGGCTTTCTGGAAGAACTGAAGTCTTCTCCTTCCTCCGCCACAGATACCCCAGAATCTTCCATGCTCCGTCACACTGCAGCCAGGCCCAGAGGATACAGGAAAGGTACGGGAGGAACAGCTCTGAGGGCTCCTAGGGCAGGACATGGGCCAGCAGGAGCCTGGAGGCACAGCTGAGCCAGAGGGTGAACTGTCGAGATGCCAGGGTGGGGCCGAGGGTAGGCCAGTGTCCCCCGTGGAAGTGGGGCGTATGTGGTGGTCATTGTGCACGCATGACACTGCCTCCTGCTCTGTGGACCCGCATGGATCTGGGGATGGGGGCTCCCCTTGCACTACCATGACCAAGCCTCTGCCAGGTTCTGGGCTTTGGAGAGGAAGAAGACTTAGTCCCCAGGGTCGTGAGACCACAATGAGGCAAGAGTCCCTGCCCGAGAGGAGGGAAGGGGGAGGAAGAAAGGGCAGTGATGGTGGCGGGAGCCTCCGGTAAGATGTGGCCTTTTCTCCCCTCCCCGAGGCCTGCGGCGTAGACTTTGAGATTCGAGCCTTCTGTGCTAAATCACTAGAAGAGAAAAGCCACAAAAGGTAAGGGAAGTGACCTCCTCTGTGGTGTAAGAGGAGGCTTTCCTCCCCGCTTCCAGGAGCCCAGGCCCCGTGCGGGGGAGGAGTAGGGTTGGGGTGTGTGAGGAATGACCCCTCCTGCCCCTACTCTGATCCCAGGAACTCTGTGCGGCTGGTGATCCGAAAGGTGCAGTTCGCCCCGGAGAAACCCGGCCCCCAGCCTTCAGCCGAAACCACACGCCACTTCCTCATGTCTGACCGGTCCCTGCACCTCGAGGCTTCCCTGGACAAGGAGGTGGGGCGTGAGAGGGTGACACGGATGCCACGGTGCAGTTTAGACCCTGGGGGAGGGGCGAAGCCACACATCAAGAGGACATTTGTAAAGGAGGTTGCCTTGGCTGGGTGTGGACAGTTGCCGTGGGCTTGGGTTTGAGGGGAGGGGGCCAGAACAATGTGTCTGTGTTTGGGGACACACTGATGATGGGAACAGTGAAAACCAGTTCCAATTCACATGACCCCCTCCCCCCAAAAGCTGTACTACCATGGGGAGCCCCTCAATGTAAATGTCCACGTCACCAACAACTCCACCAAGACCGTCAAGAAGATCAAAGTCTCTGGTAGGAGGTGGGGTTTGGAAGGGGGTCTTCGGGGAGGGCGTTACTGCACAGGTGGCTCCTGGTGTGATCTCAGCCCAGGCCATTTCCCAGTGCGGGAGACCCACCAGGGCTCAAAGAATTTAGGTTGTTCCATAATGATACGGGGAGCCTCGGTGTTTACTGCTTCAGTGGGGAGCATGGGGGGGCCACGCCACGGGGTCTGGAGTTGTGGTGTGGTGGTGGCTTGTGCTCCATCCAGAGCTGCCTGACCCCGTCCCACCCCACAGTGAGACAGTACGCCGACATCTGCCTCTTCAGCACCGCCCAGTACAAGTGTCCTGTGGCTCAACTCGAACAAGAGTGAGTATCGGGAGAGACCCATGTTCCAATCTAGGGGAGAAGAGCAGGATCAGGAGAATGTGAGGTGGAGGAAGAATTCTTCCTGAGCCATCTCCACCTTTTTTTTTTTTTTTGAGATGGAGTTTTTGCTCTTGTTGCCCAGCCTGGAGTGCAATGGGGCAACCTCTGCTCACTGCAACCTCCACCTCCCGGGTTCAAGCGATTCTCCTGCCTCAGCCTCCCACGTAGCTGGGACTACAGGCATGCACCACCATACCCGGCTTATTTTTAATAGAGACGAGGTTTCACCATGTTGGCCAAGCTAGTTGCGAACCCCTGACCTCAAGTGACCCACCCGTCGCGGCCTCTCAAAGTGCTGGGATTACAGGCGTGAGCCGCCGCGACCGGCCACCATCTTCACTTAAAAGGGTATTCCCTCCACAGCCAGGCTCCAGGCTGTTAATTTTCTTGAGCACGTTGAGCCAAAACCTACTCCCTTGTGACCTGTGCCCAAAGAAACAAGGGACTAGTGAGGGGGAGATGCTGCTTGGGGGTCATAGGCCGCCCCTTGCCCAGCCCAGCGCCCCTAAGCATCTTGTTCTCTTGTCCCCACCCCCAGTGACCAGGTATCTCCCAGCTCCACATTCTGTAAGGTGTACACCATAACCCCACTGCTCAGCGACAACCGGGAGAAGCGGGGTCTCGCCCTGGATGGGAAACTCAAGCACGAGGACACCAACCTGGCTTCCAGCACCATGTGAGGGTGGGGCTGGGGCGGGTCCCCTGCAGGCCAGGGGCCAGACGTCGGTTCAGTGCTCTATCCTAGTGTGCCAGGGATGTATCAGTGAACAGAAGAGACAAAAAGAACTCTTACATTCTAGGGGAGGGAGGATAGCCAAATCTGATCAGTGGTCACTGTACAGCAGGTTTAGTGACAAGTATGAAGGAGAAAAAGCCAGGCAGAGAAGGAAGGGATGGGGGGCAGTGAGGTGCGAAGGTGAATTCGGAGTAAGGACCCAGCGGAAGTAAGCAATGTGGGTGAGCAGGAAAGGAGGGTTCTGGGCAGAGAGAAAACAAAGACTCAGAGGTGGGGCAGCCTGGGGTGTTGGAGGAATGGGGAGGTGCCATCGTGCCCTCGGGCAGGAGCAGCCCTGGAGGTCCCCAGCTTCACAAAGGGCTGGATTTCACCTCTCCGGATGCCTTTGTTCAGGGTTCTCACTGCACAGCCACACACAGCAGGCCCGGAGGGCAACTTAGGGAGAAGAACTAAGTACCAGGAGAGGAGGAGGAGGTGAGGTCAGGGGCTAATGGAGAGCCAGACGGTGCAAGGCTGTTAGCGGAGAAGGACGTCAGCTTTTCCTGGAGAGGAGCCAAGGAGGCTCTGAGCAGGGAGTGCAGTGCGCACTGTACCATAACCGCACGGCCTGGGCTGCTGGGGCCCTGGGGGCCTGTGCGAGTTTGTGGTCCTGCCCAGAGTCCCCGTGGGAACCCCACGGTGGGCCAGGTGACAGGGTGATAGGCCCTGGTCTGACTCCAACACCCTCAATTGCAGCGTGAAGGAGGGTGCCAACAAGGAGGTGCTGGGAATCCTGGTGTCCTACAGGGTCAAGGTGAAGCTGGTGGTGTCTCGAGGCGGGTGAGTGTCATGGGGGAGCCTGGGTGGGGGTCACACTGGCTCTCTCTAGTCCCATGTCGTCGTCCTCTTCACGATGCCTCTCCCCTTCCCCAGGGATGTCTCTGTGGAGCTGCCTTTTGTTCTTATGCACCCCAAGCCCCACGACCACATCCCCCTCCCCAGACCCCAGTCAGGTGAGCACACTACCCACCCCAAGCCCTCAGAGGGAGGGCCTGAAGCAGGGCCAGTGGAGGAAAACTGGCCCTTCCAGCACCCACCCCCACACCCCCTCTTCCCGTCCCCCCAGCCGCTCCGGAGACAGATGTCCCTGTGGACACCAACCTCATTGAATTTGATACCAAGTAAGAAACTCATTCCCCTACTTGACCCTCTTGGGACAAAGATTCCTATAACATTCAAATCTGCCCTCATACCTCTTCCTTGCTTTTGGTGGGGAGAAGCGGATTGTAGCATCAAATCAAGATGCCTTAGCCTTGTGAGGCTGCCTCTTGCTGCCTTTTCTTTGTCCCTTCCTGTAAATACCTCTGGTCCCACTGCTGTTCGAACGCCTCTGTCCCAGAGGCCTAGCTTCGGGGAGGGCAGGGAGTGGGAGGCTGGGACAAGAGTCAGAAGCCCTCACCTCACAACCCTCTTTCCCACCACCAAGCTATGCCACAGATGATGACATTGTGTTTGAGGACTTTGCCCGGCTTCGGCTGAAGGGGATGAAGGATGACGACTATGATGATCAACTCTGCTAGGAAGCGGGGTGGGAAGAAGGGAGGGGATGGGGTTGGGAGAGGTGAGGGCAGGATTAAGATCCCCACTGTCAATGGGGGATTGTCCCAGCCCCTCTTCCCTTCCCCTCACCTGGAAGCTTCTTCAACCAATCCCTTCACACTCTCTCCCCCATCCCCCCAAGATACACACTGGACCCTCTCTTGCTGAATGTGGGCATTAATTTTTTGACTGCAGCTCTGCTTCTCCAGCCCCGCCGTGGGTGGCAAGCTGTGTTCATACCTAAATTTTCTGGAAGGGGACAGTGAAAAGAGGAGTGACAGGAGGGAAAGGGGGAGACAAAACTCCTACTCTCAACCTCACACCAACACCTCCCATTATCACTCTCTCTGCCCCCATTCCTTCAAGAGGAGACCCTTTGGGGACAAGGCCGTTTCTTTGTTTCTGAGCATAAAGAAGAAAATAAATCTTTTACTAAGCATGAGTGTGTGTTTTCTCTGTAGTGTTTAGAGAGTGTATGGTGTGCTTATCCATGATTCTGTTAGCTTGTGGGGGAGGACCCAGTCTCTCTTCTGCACCCAAAAGCCACCTGACACGGAGGCTATCAGCAAATGTTTATTGGATGACTGTGCTGTGGCTGTGTTCCAGGGTAAACATCAAAACTTGACTTAGTCCAAACTCAAGGGTGAGGCTTGATAAGGCCACAAAGTGAACTTAGTCATTTCTAGAGGTCACAGTAACTAAACTAACTCGCCTGCACACAGATGCTCACGGGAGCTAGCCAGGGCAGGCCCTTCCCTGTTGCGGCCGACGCACATGACCACCTGTGACCTGTTGTGACCGAGTCGCGTTCATTTCCACTGCTCCTTATGGCTGCTCGAGCCATCTGCTCCTGTGGCTCAGCGGTGCCACAACCGCAGGCCTCACCAGACAAGCCACGTGACGTCTCTGGAGTCTGGTACCTACATTCTAACACAGAAGCTGAGGCTTGGGCAGCAAGAACGTCATGCTGCCGTGGGCCCCTGTCCTAGGGACCACATCTTAGTGCTGTTCATGGGATATTCATCAGGGACTCCCTGAGGCTTGACCGAAGCCCCAGGCTGGGCTGGAGGGAGGTAGCATCACTCCACGAACATTTCTCACCTCCATCATCTGCTTCCACTCCTGAAGCCCAATCTTTCTCCTAAAGCTCCTTCATGCATTCCACAAACAATCTGGATTTGAGTCCCTACAAAGTACCAGGCATAGTATAGCAGTACAACAACAACAACAACAACAAAAACACATTAATTCATTCCCTTTTTTTTTTTTTTCTTTTGAGACAGAGTCTTGCTCTGTCGTCCAGGCTGGAGTGCAATGGTGCCATCTCGGCTCACTGTAACCTCCGCCTCCCAGGTACAAGTGATTCTCCTGCCTCAGCCTCCGGAGTAGCTGGGATTACAGGCGCCCGCCACAACTCCCGGCTAATTTTTGTATTTTTAGTGGAGATGGGGTTTCGCCATGTTGGTCAGGCTGTTCTCAAACTCCTCACCTCAAGTGGTCCACCCGCCTCGGCCTCCCAAAGTGCTGGGATTACAGGTGTGAGCCACCGCGCCAGGCCTCCCTAGTTATTTAACTACAATATCTTTGCTTCAGAGGAGAAGTACTGGAGCCAGGAGAACGCGTGACAGGGAGTTCTGAGCTAGGTTGGGTTTGGGGAAGATTTCCCTGAGAAAGTGACCTTTAAGCAGAGAAGTGAAAGATGAGGGGAGTTCGGGGACCGTCCAGGGATGAGCATTCTGGGCAATGGCAGTGTCGTGTGAAGGCAGGAGGAAACAACACATCTGGGACCTAAAGAGGCCAGAGAGACTGGGACAGAGACAGCCAGAGGCAAAGTAGTTCCTTCTGGCTGCTGAGCCAGATGGGGACAGCTCGCACAGGCCTTTAGTCTATGTTATGACTCGTGACTTCTAGTTAAATCGCCATTTACCCACAAGCTTTAAGTACTGCCAAAAGGCCCGTGACCTTGCTTACCCCGCCACGGCGGCAGCCTCCCCTGCAGAACCTGGACTTTCTCATGCGGAAGAACGGAAGAACCATCCCGCCTAATACCATCTCCAGCATCCCTCCGACTCCCGTGCACCTGCTCCTTGACCTCTAAGCCCAGGTATCTCAATTTTTTTTTTTTTTTTTTTGAGATGGAGTCTTGCTTTCTCACCCAGGCTGGAATGCAATGGTGCTATCTTGGCTCACTGCAACCTCTGCCTCCCAGGTTCAAGCAATTCTTCTGCCTCAGCTTCCCGAGTAACTGGGACTACAGGCACACGCCACCACGCCTGGCTAATTTTTGTATTTTTAGTAAAGACAAGGTTTCGCCATACTGGCCAGGCTGGTCTCGAACTCCTGACCTCCTGATCCGCCCACCTTGGCCCCCCAAAGTGCTGGGATTACAGGCGTGAGCCACCGCGCCTGGCCGATCTCAAATTTTTTTCAGGAGAATCAGAACCCTCGGGGTGCCATGGTAAAAATCCAGAGTTGGGCTCCACCTTTCCCGATTCTGAGTCACAAGGTCCCAAGAAGAATCCAAAAATCCGGATTTTTAATTAGTACACACTTTGAGAAACTGCCCTTTTTATTTATTTAATTAACTTATTTATTATTATCTTTTTTTGAGATGGAGTCTCACTTTGTCACCCAGGCTGGAGTGGAATGGCGCAATCTCAGCTCACTGCAACCTCCGCCTCCCGGGTTCAAGCCGTTCTCCTGCCTCAGCCTCCCGAGTAGCTGGGATTACAGGCACGTGCCACCATGCCTGGCTAATTTTTGTATTTTTATAGAGCCAAGGTCTCGCCATTGCACTCCAGCCTGGGCGACAAGAGCAAAACTCTCTCTCAATAAATAAATAAATAGTCTAATTCAATGGCATTTAGTATACTCACAATGTTGTACAACAATCCCCTCTGTCTACTTCCAAACATTTGGCTTCCTGTATTTTCAATAACAGATAAATTTTTTTAAATTGTCTTTCTTAAGGCCGGGCGCAGTGGCTCACACCTGTGATTTGTAATCCCAGCACTTTGGGAAGCCGAGGCGGGTGGATCGCCTGAGGTCAGGAGTTCGAGAACAGCCTGGCCAACATAGTGACACCCCGTCTCTACTAAAAATACAAAAAATTAGCTGAGCATGGTGGCGGGCGCCAGTAATCCCAGCTACTCGGGAGGCTGAGGCAGGAGAATCACTTGAACCCTGGAGGTGGAGGTTGCAGTGAGCTGAGATTGTGCCACTGCACTCCAGCCTGGGCAACAAGAACAAAACTCCATCTCAGAAAAAAAAAAAAATTCTTTTTGCTTTTTAGGTTCATACACTAGGAAAATTTTTTATATTTATTTTCATGTAGTCAGTTATAATAGCCACACAAAAAAAAAAAAAAAAAAAAAAAAAACAGCTTATGGCCAGGCGCGGTGGCTCATGCCTGTAATCCCAGCACTTTGGGAGGCCGAGGCAGGCGGATCACAAAGTCAGGAGATCGAGACCATCCTGCTAACACGGTGAAACCCCGTCTCTACTAAAAATACAAAAAATTAGCCAGGCGGGGTGGCGGGTGCCTGTAGTCCCAGCTACTCGGGAGGCTGAGCAAGAGAATGGTGTGAACCCGGGAGGTGGAGCTTGCAGTGAGCCGAGATGGTGCCACTGCACTCCAGGCTGGGTGACAGAGCGAGACTCCGTCTCAAAAACAAACAAACAAACAAAAAAACCAGCTGATTGGGTGTTTTGTCACAAAGCTTTTGGCCCTTCTGTTTTCTCACTACTTGACACTTCCTTTTCTTTCCAGCCTATACTTCAAGGTCACCATATCAACCCCTATCTCATCAGCACACTCCACCCTCCATTCACAATCCTGTTCTCAATCCACAGCCTGGATCCATCCAACTATCTCCCTTCTCTGCTCTGAACACAGGGGTTGGTGCTCATACAACCACTTGCTTGTTCATTCAACACATTTTGTTTTTGAGACAGAGTTCTCGCTGTGTCACCCACGCTACAATGCAGTGGCCCAATCTCGACTCACCACAACCTCCGCCTCCCGGGTTCAAGCGATTCTCCTGCCTCAGCCTCCTGAGTAGCTGGGATTACAGGTGCCCGCCACCCCACCTGGCTAATTTTTGTATTTTTTAGTAAAGATGGGGTTTCACCACGTTGGCCAGGCTGGTCTCGAACTCCTGGCCTCATGTGATCCACCTGCCTCAGCCTCCCAAAGTGCTGGGATTACAGGCATCAGCCACCGCGCCTGGCCAACAAACTTTTTTGAACTCATTCTAGGTACCAGACACTAGGTATGAATCTGGGGCTGCTAAAAATATATGGTCTCTAACCCAAGGTGGGCCCCCAACACCCGATAAGCTTTTGTCTCTCTCCATGTCCCTGGTTACCTCCCTCTCCTGCTCCCATCCTATGCACTAATTCTTTTTTTTTTTTTTTTAAGGTGGAGTTTCACTCTTGTTGTCCAGGCTGGAGTACAATGGCACGACCTTGGCTCACTGCAATCTCTGCCTCCCCGGTTCAAGCGATTCTCCCACCTCGGCCTCCCAAGTAGCTGGGATTACAGGCGCCCGCCACCATGCCTGGCTAATTTTTGTATTTTTAGTAGAGACGAGGTTTCACCACGTTGGCCAGGCTGGTCTCAAACTCCTGACCTCAGGTGATCTGCCCGCCTCAGCCTCCCAAAGTGGTAGGATTACAGGCGTGAGCCACCACGCCCAGCTACCTACGCACTAATTTTCTACCTTCCTCATGCTCAAAGTGACTTCTGTTTTTCACAGAGATTAGGCAATGAAGGATGAATAATTTCAATTTCCCACCTCCTACTGACAAACAGTGACATCTACACCAATTCTCCTACACAACCAAGGTTAAGATGCCTTCTCCAGTTCAAAGCTAATCCCTCCACCTGTGCTCAGATTGCTGTCCTCCCACCTCCATTGAGACCTTGATTCACCAAACCACACCCCTCTCCTACCTGTGTCTATGGCTCTTCCTCCATGGTAAATAAGCCCACATAAGTCTATTCCATTTAAGGAAAGAGGAGGGAGGAAGAAAAAAAAGAGGAAGAAGGAAAGGACAAACCAAACAAAACACTCTCCTCTACACTTACGTCTCTTTTTTATTTCCTCTCTTCTTTGGTTTTGTTTTGTTTTGTTTTTTGAGACAGATTTTCGCTCTTGTCACCCAGGCTGGAGTGCAATGGTGAGATCTCAGCTCACTGTAACCTCCGCCTCCTGGGTTCAAGTGATTCTCCAGCTTCAGCCTCCTGAGTAGCTTGGATTACAGGCACCCACCACCATACCCAGCTAATTTTTGTATTTTTAGTAGATACAGGGTTTCACCATGTTGGCCAGGCTGGTCTCGAACTCTTGACCTCATGATCCGCCCGCCTCGGACTCCCAAAGTGCTGGGATTACAGGCATGAGCTACTGCACCCAGCCCTCTCTCACTCTTCATTCTTTCTTTACTTTTTGTTTTCAAAGTTATATATACATATAAAGAATCAGATAGTACTACAAGACCTATTACAATAAAAAGCAGACCCTTCCCACTCTAATTTCCTCCTCCTCAGAGGCAACTACTTTCACCACCTTTTTTTTGAGACAGGGTCTTGCTCTGTCACCCTTGGCATGATCACAGCTTACTGCAGCCTCCTCGATGCCCCAGGCTGAAGAGATCCTCCCACCTCAGCCTCCCAAGTAACTGGGACTACAGGTGCAAGCCACCATGCCCAGCTAGTTTTTTTAACTTTTTTGATTATTTTATTAATTTGTTTTTTTGAGACAGAGTCTCACTCTGTCGCCAAGGCTGGAGTGCAGTGGCACTGTGTCGGCTCACTGCAACCTCCGTCTGCTAGGTTCAAGCAATTCTCCTGCCTCAGCCTCCCGAGTAGCTGGGATTACAGGTGTCCACCACCATGCCCAGCTAGTTTTTATATTTTTAGTAGAGACGGGGTTTCACCATGTTGGCCAGGTTGGTCTTGAACTCCTGACCTCAGGTGATCCACCCACCGTGGCTTCCCAAAGTGTTGGGATGACAGGCGTGAGCCACCGCGCCCGGCCAGTTTTTTTATTTTTTGTAGAGATGGAGTATCCTCACGTTGCTCAGGCTACACCTGGCCTACTTTCACCACCTTTAGATGTTTATTTTGGCATTTACCTCCCTATCTCTAAACATGCTTATTTGGCAACTTCATGATTTTTGTTTTTGTTTGTTTTTTTTGTTTTGAGAGAGGGTCACGCTCTGTCGCCCAGGCTGGAGTGCAATGGTGCAATCTCAGCTCACTGCAACCTCCGCCTCCCATGTTCAAGCGATTCTCTTGTCTCAGCCTCCTGAGTAGCTGGGACTACAGATGCGTGCCACCACGCCCAGCTAATTTTTGTATTTTTAGTAGAGATGGGGTTTCACCATGTTGGCCAGGATGGTTTCCAACTCCCAACCTCAGGTGATCCGCCAGTCCCGGCCTCCCAAAGTGCTGGGATTATAGGCATGAGCCACCACACCTGGCTTGTGTGACAGATTTTTTTCATTACTTCCCTCATGGTTTGATTTTTCAAGGGTGTTTTGTTTGTTTGTTTGTTTTGTTTTTGAGATGGAGTCTTGCTCCAAATTGCAGTGTTACTGATACCTTCTAGTCTTCTGAAAATAATGTTTGTGGAGGAAGGGATCAAGAAATGTAGCACCATCATTTAAATTCCCTCAGGACCAACCCTACTGGACACATAAACAATAGCAACAACATCTACTTTCAATAAAATGTTGGCATTGCTCTCTGCCAATTACCTTGAGAGCCTGACTCTGGAATGAAAAGCTCTATACCGACCCTGGCCTTGAACTCCTGACCTCAAGTGATCCTCCCGCCTCGACCTCCAAAAGTGCTGGGATTGCAGGCATAAGCCACCATGCCCAGCCAAGGATGCTTTTTCGGATTCAATCATGTTTTATACTATCTCTTACCTAAAAGCTTCAACAGTTGTCCCCACCTCCCCCTTTTTATTTTGGTTTCTGTCTTTCATGTTAGAAAGTTTCTTTACATACCTAGAAATTTTTGCTTTCTGCTCACATTTAAGAGCGGGTGCTTAGCTTGACATGGTGGCTCACATCTGCAGTCCCAGCTACTCAGGAGGCTGAGACAGGAAGATCACTTGAGCCCAGGAGTTCAGGACTACAATGACCTATGATTGCGCCACTGCACTCTAGCCTGGGTGACACAGAGAGGCCCTATCTCAAGAAACTAAAAAAAAAAAAAAAAGAGTGAGGTGCCAAGAAGTTGACTAGAATTTCCATGTACACAGTTGGGACTTGCCAACTGTGAGTTTCAGTATGAGGTGATCTGGCCAACTGACTGGTTGGAGAACCCCTGACGTTCACATCGTAAGGTCTTTTCTCACTTACCAAATTCCCCAGAGAAGAGTCTTCCAGTCTCTTACCTGGAAAGTATAAGCCTTGTGCTGGAGTTCTGGAAACTACCACTCACTATATAAACTTTCGTTTTTGTTTTTGTTTTTTCTTGGATACAGGGTCTCACTCTGTCACCCAGGCTGGAGAGCAGAGGCGTGATGAGGACTCCCTGCAGTCTCAACTCCCAGGCTCAAGCAATCCTCCCACCTCAGGCCCCTCCAAGTGGCTGGGACTATTTTTATACTTTTTGTAGAGTTAGGGTCCCACTATGTTGCCCAGGCTGGTCTAAAACTCGTGGGCTCAAGTGATCCTCCTGCCTTGGCCTCCAAAAGCGCTAGAATTACAGGCATGAGCCAACTCACCTGGCCCTAAACTTTCACTTAATCTCTGTTTTTCTTTTTTGGAGACTGAGTCTCACTCTGTTGCCCAGGCTGGAGTGCAGTGGCACAACCTCGGCTCACTGCAACCTCCTCAGCCTCCCAAGTAGCTGGGATTACAGGCACCCGCCACCACGCCCGGCTCATTTTTTGTATTTTTAGTAGAGACGGGGGTTTCACCATGTTGCCCAGGCTGGTCTCGAACTTCTGACCTCAGGTGATCCACCCGCCTAGGCCTCCCAAAGTGCTGGGAATACAAGCGTGAGCCACCGCGGCCGGCTTAATCTCTGTTTTCAACGCAGTACCCTTGCCCTCAACTGTACTCAGGTGCTCTCTAAGCTAAAAAACCTGTTTTCCATTTCCGACAAACTCCAGTATTCTGATGGGTTGGGGGAGATCGGTTGCCAAGATATATAGAGTCAATAAAGAGATCTGGAGGTCTAACTTCAAATAATCCTCCTAATTTTAGTACCACTTTCACCCCAGCTGTAAGCGATGCTACTAATTTCATGGTAAATCAGGTTGCTTGTAAGCTTTCTTTGCTGCTGGCTTAGTTACCACCTCACTGCAAAATGAGTCTGTTTTCCAGCATCTGTCTAAAGTTTTGCTATTAACTCCTCTCCCTTTGACTCCTTTTTAAAACAACTTTAGGCCAGGCACAGTACGCTCACACCTGAAATCCTGGCACTTTGGGAGGCCAAGGCAGGAGGATCCTTTGAGTCCAGGAGTTCAAGACCAGCATAGGCAACACAATGAGACCCTGTCTCTACAAAAAAAATTAAAAATTAGCCAGATGTGGTAGCACACATCTATGGTCCTGACTCTTCAGAAGGCTGAAGTGAGAGGTCACTTGAGTATGGGAGTTTAAGGCTGCAGTGAGCCATGACTGAGCCACTGCATTCCAGCCTGGGCAGCAGAGTGAGACCTTGTCTCAAAAAATAAAATTTTTTAAAAAAAGCAACTTTCTGTTATTTTATTAGCATTTAGGGAAGGATTAAGTCAAATGCCAGACCCATCAAGTTTTTTGTTTTTTGAGGCAGGGTCGCGTTCTGTCACCCAGGCTGGAGTGCAGTGGCACAATCCATGGCTCACTGCAGCCTCGACCTCTCAGGCTCAAGAAATCCTCCTATCTCAGCCTCCCAAGAAGCTGGGAATACAGGCATCAGCCACCAAGACTGGCTATTTTTTTTAATTTTTAATTTATACTTTTTAAAAAATTATTTGAATTTATTTATTTATTAGAGATGGAGTTTCACTCTTGTAGCCCAGGCTGGAGTGCAACAGCGCAATCTCAGCTCACCGCAATCTCCGCCTCCCAGGTTCAAGTGATTCTCCTGCCTTAGCCTCCTGGGTAGCTGGGATTACAGGCATGCGCCACCATGCCCAGCTAATTCTGTATTTTTAGTAGAGACGGGGTTTCTCCATGTTGGTCAGGCTGGTCTCGAACTCCTGACCTCAGGTGATCCACCCGCCTCGGCCTCCCAAAGTGCTGGGATTACAGGTGTGAGCCACCAAACCCAGCCTTTATTTTTTAAATATAGGAGATGGGGTCTCACTATATTGCCCAGGCTGGTCTCGAAGTCCTTAGTTCAAGTGATCCTCCCACCTCAGCCTCCCAAAGAGCTGAAATTACAGGAGTGAGCCACCATGCCCAGCCCCCAAATTTTTTTATAAAGACAGTATCTCACTATGTTCCCCAGGCTAGACCATTCAGTTTAACTGAGTCTAACCTTCATGTGCTAACCTTGGGCAAACTAGTTTCATTCTTGATAATCTACTATAAACTGTTACAAACGATCTTTCCAAAAAAGGTAATTCTGGTCATAACACACTTCTTAAAAACCCTTTAAAGGCTCAAATGTCTTCAGACTCAAGTCCAAAGTACATAGCTTGCAAGCCTTTTCCTGATTCCGCTCCTCTCTCCAGCCTCACCATTGTCATACCTAACCCCCACCACGCTCCGTTCACTCCAGGCAGGCAGAATCCCTTGCTGGACTCCACATGCGCTGTTCCCGTCACAGCACCATGCTGTTGCCTATGCCGTCTCCCTTTTCCACTACAAGCTTTCATCCACGTAGTTCACCTTTAAGATTCAGCTCACGCCTGTAATCCCAGCACTTTGGGAGGCCGAAGAGGGTGGATCGCTTGAGGTCGAGTTCGAGACCAACCTGGCCAACATGGTGAAACCCCGTCTCTACTAAAAATACAAAAATCAGCCGGGCGTGGTGGCGGGCGCCTATAATCCCAGGCACCCGGGAAGCTGAAGCAGGAGAATCGCTTGAACCTGGGAGGTGGAGGTTGCAGGGAGGGAGATCTTGCGACTGCACTCCAACCTGGACGACAGAGTAAGACTGTCTCATAAATAAATAAACTTGTGTAGAATAAACTAGAGGCCACAGACAGTGTCAAGAAGATGGACAGGTCTGAATGGCCTCGGGCTAGGGGATATTCCACTGTCGCCTCTGACTACGGGTGGTCCTGTGGCTGAGGCGCAGCGGGCCCTGGGAGTTGTAGTTCATCAAGCGGACCGAGGAGGCGAGGCTGCGCTGAGCATCCTGGGAATCGTAGTGCTCGCTACACGGTGCCCTCTGCGCAGGCGCACACCGAGAGCCACTTCCGGAACAAGCGTCGCGTTTCTGAGGAGAAACTCTTGGTGAGAATTCCCAGAGTGATAATGGCTACCTACAGCCTGGCGAACGAGAGACTACGCGCTCTGGAAGACATTGAACGGGAAATCGGCGCCATCCTTCAGAATGCAGGTTCGGGATGCGACAACCTGGACAGCGGGGAGCGAAAGCGTGACCGGGCTGCACTGGCAGCCTGACCTGGGACTTGGAGCAGGGTTGGGGAGGGAATCCTACGTGCGTGCGCAGCGAAAGGGCGGGACTGAGAGGGGCTGGCCTAGGGAGAGGCTACACTGGCAGTCTCCGTGTGTCCCCGCCCTCTCTCCGCCCTGGCAGGTACTGTGATCCTAGAATTGTCCAAGGAAAAAACTAACGAGCGGCTCCTAGACCGGCAGGCGGCGGCCTTCACCGCTTCAGTGCAACACGTGGAGGCGGAGCTGTCAGCTCAGATCCGCTACCTCACCCAGGTCGGTGTGTCTGGGGGGTTCTGCGAGCGAACCCCAGCTCTGGGTCAAAGCCTCAGGCTTGGGTGATCCAGGGTGGAGCATTAACTGGGCAGGACCAGACCTCCCCAGCCGGCCATCCAGAGCGGGTTTCTTCCTCTAAAAGGAAAGAATGGGCCGGGCGCAGTGGCTTGACAGAGTTCGAGACCAGCCTGGCCAACACGGTGAAACCTCGTCTCTACTAAAAATATAAAAATTAGGCCAGGCTCGGTGGCTCACTCCTGTAATCCCAGCACTTTGGGAGGCTGAGGCGGGTGGATCATCTGAGGTCAGGAGTTCGAGACCAGCCTGGCCAACATGGTGAAACTCCGTCTCTACTAAAAATACAAAAATTAGCTGGGCTGGTAGCGGGCACCTGTAATCCCAGCTACTTGGAAGGGTGAGGCAGGAGAATCGCTTGAACCCAGGAGGTGGAGGTTGCAGTGAGCCAAGATTGCAGCACTGCACTCCAGCCTGGGTGACAAAGCAAGACTGTCTCAAAAAAAAAAAAAGCCGGGCTTGGTGGTGAGTACCGGTAACCCCAGCTACTTGGAAGGCTGAGGCAGGAGAATCGCTTGAACCCAGGAGGCGGAGGTTGTTGTACTTAGCCGAGATCATGCCATTGCACTCCAGCCTGGGTAACAGAGCAAAAACTCTGTCTCAAAAAATAATAAATAATAAAATGAAAGAATTAAAGGTGGCCCTGCATACCTCACTGGGTAACATCACATGTGCCTAGCAGAAGATGTGTAAATAATGCTAGAACTACAGAACTTTGTCACTGGAAACTTGGCCTGACCTCCAGGCCACGAGGTCCCAAATCCTTATATCCTGAGAAGAGGGACAGGATTGAGAAGGTTCTGAAATCGTCGCAGGGACCACTACCATTACTAATTTTTACGGTGTGCCAGATACTCTGCATTACTTTATCTAATCCTCAACAACTCTAGGAAGTAGTTATTGTCACCCCCATTTTACAGACAAGATTAACATAAGTTAAATGATTTATTTACCCAGCTACCAGATGGCCTAACAAATTCAAACTCAGGGAAGAAATGAGACGAGACCTGATGCCTGGTTGGAGTTAGGGTAAAGGAGATGGTGCTCCATTGATAGTCTGTCTTGTAGGTGGCCACAGGGCAGCCCCATGAGGGCTCCAGCTACTCTTCGAGGAAGGACTGTCAGATGGCTCTGAAGCGAGTGGACTATGCCCGCCTCAAGCTCAGTGATGTGGCTCGAACCTGTGAGCAGATGCTGGAGAACTAGGCCAGGGAGATGGACCCAGAGCTGAGAGGGAGACCATCACCTGTGCCATGGGACAGAACCTGGGAACATGTAGGGTGGGGAGTATGAGCACCAACATACCCTGCTGGTCAAAGTACCCTAGGACAAAGGGGCAAATGGTGGGCATGGAAAAACTGAAGCCCGAGCCTGCCCACAGCTATGCTTTGGCCTCTCCAGCAGGGTGCTCCTGCTCTGCACTCCAGAAACACCCTGACAGGCTCAGAGAGGAGATGGAAACTGACATACCCAACCCACTTCCTCAAACACTTCATGCTGCTGCCCCAGCCTTCCCGCAGACTTGGCCTAATGAAAATACATACTTCTTCATTC